>NC_000020.11:29697630-29884750 GCF_000001405.40 Homo sapiens
GTTGTTCATCTCTGTGAGTTGAATGCAATCATTCAAAGAAGTTTCTGAGAATGCTGCACTCTGGTTTTTAAGTGAAGATATTTCCTTTTCCATCATAGGCCTCAAAATTTGAAAACGTCCACTTGCAGAGTCTACAAAAACAGTGTTTCAAAACTACTCTATCAAAAGAAAGGTTCAACTCTGTGAGTTGAATGCACACATCACAAAGAAGTTTCTGAGAATGCTTCTGTCTAGGTTTTATGTGAAGATATTCCCATTTCCAACGAAGGCCTCAAAGCAGTCCAAATATCCACTTGCAGATTCTACTTAAAGAGTGTTTCAATCCCGCTCAATGAAAAGGTATATTCAACTCTATGAGTTGAATGCACACATCACAAAGAAGTTTCTGAGATTTCTTCTGTCTAGTTTTTTTTTTTTTTTTTAAGATATTCCCATTTCCGACAAAGGTCTCAAAGCAGTCCAAATATCCACTTGCAGATTCTACGAAAAGAGTGTTTCAAAACTTCTCTATGAAAATGTATTTTCAAGTCTGTGAGTTGAATGCACACATCACAAAGAAGTTTCTGAGAATGCTTCTGTCTAGTTCTTATGTGAGTATATTTCCTTTTCCACCATAGGCCTCAAAGCTCTCCGAATGTCCACTTGCAGATTCCACAAAAAGAGTGTTTCAAAAATGCTCTATCAAAAGAAAGGTTCAACTCTGTGAGTTGAATGCACATATCACAAAGAAGTTTCTGAGAATGCTTCTGTCTAGTTTTTATGTGAAGATATTCCCATTTCCCTCGAAGGACTCAAAGCAGTCCAAATATCCACCTGCAGATTCTACGAAAATAGTGCTTCATAACTGCTCTATGAGCAGATATGTTCAAATCTATGTGTTGAAGGCAAACATCACAAAGAAGTTTCTGAGAAGGCTTCTGTCTATTTTTTATGTGAAGATATTTCCTTCCCTACCGTTGGCTTCAAAGCTCTCCAAATGTCCACTTGCAGATCCTACAAAAAGAGTGTTTCAAAACTGCTCTATCAAAAGAAATGTTCAACTCTGAGAGTTATATGCAAACATCAAAAGGCGTTTCTGAGAATGCTTCTGTCTAGTTTTTATGTGAAAGTTTTCCCGTTGTCAACGAAGGACTCAAAGCAGTCCAAATATCCAGTGGCAGATTCTACGAAAATACTGTTTCAAAACTGCTCTATGAGAAGGTATGTTCAACTCTGTGAGTTGAACGCAAACATCACAAAGAAGTTTCTGAGAATGCTTCCATCTGGTTTTTATGTGAAGATATTTCCTTTTCCACCATAGGCCTCAAAGTTTTCCAAATGTCCACTTTGCAGATTCTACCAAAAGTGTGTTTCAAAACTGCTCTATCAAAAGAAAGTTTGAACTCTGTGAGTTGACTGCAAACGTCACGAAGAAGTTTCTGAGAGTGCTTCTGTCTAGTTTTTATGTGAACTTTTTCCAATTTCCAACGACGGCCTCAAAGCAGTCCAAATATACACATGCAGATTCTTCAAAAAGAGTGTTTCAAAACTGCTCTATTAAAAGGTATGTTCGACTCTGTGAGTTAAGTGCAAACATCACAAAGAAGTTTCTGAGACTGCTTCTGTCTAGTTTTTATGTGAAGATATATCATTTTCCACCATAGGACTCAAAGCTTTCCAAATGTCCACTTGCGGATTCTACAAAAAGAGAGTTTCAAAACAGCTCTATCAAAAGAAAGGTTGAAATCTGTGAGTTGAATGCACACATCACAAAGAAGTTGCCGAGAATGCTTCTGTCTACGGTTAATGTGAAGATATTCCCGTTTCCAAAGAAGGCCTCAAAACAGTCTAAATATCCACTTGCAGATTTTATGAAAAGTGTTTTTCAAAACTGCTTTAAGAAAAGGTTTGTGCACCTCTGTGAGTTGAATGCACACATCACAAAAAAGTTTCTGAGAATCCTTCTGTCTAGTTTCTATTTGAAGACATTCCCGTTTGAAGCGAAGGCCACAAAGCAGTCCAAATATCGACTTGCAGATTCTACGAAAACAGTGTTTCAAAACTGCTCTATGAAAAGGTTATGTTCAACTGTGTGAGTTGAAAGCACACATCACAAAAATGTTTCTGAGAATGCTTCTATCTTGTTTTTATGTGAAGATATTAACTTTTCCAACAAAGGCCCCAAAGCAGTCCAAATATCCACTTACACATTCTACAAAAAGAGTGTTTCAAAATTGCTCTATGAAAAGGTATGTTCAACTCTGTGAGTTGAATGCACACGTCACAAAGAAGTTTCTGAGAATGCTTCTGTCTTGTTTTTTTTGTGAAGATATTCTCGTTTCCGACGAATACCTCAAAGCAGTCCAAATATCCACTTGCAGATTCTACGAAAAGAGTGTTTAAAAACTTCTCTATGAAAACGTATGTTTAACACTGTGAGTTGAATGCACACATAACAAAGAAGTTTCTGAGAATGCTTATGTCTAGTTTTTATGTGAAGATATTCCCGTTTCCAAATAAGGCTTCAAAGCAGTCAAAATAGCCACATGCAGATTTTACAAAAACAGTATTACAAATCTGCTCTATGAAAAGATATGTTCAACTCATTGAGTTGAATGCAGTCATCAAAAAGAAGTTTCTGAGAATGCTTCTGACTAGTTTTTATGTGAATATATTTCCTTTTCCACCGTAGGCCTCAAAGTTCTCGAAATGTGCACTTGCAGATTCTACCAACAGAGTGTTTCAAAGCTGCTCTATCAAAAGAAATGTTCAACTCTGTGAGTTGAATGCACACATCACAATGAAGTTTCTGAGAATGCTTCTGTCTAGTTTTTATGTGAAGATATTCCCATTTCCAACAAAGGCGTCAAGGCAGTCCAAATATGCATTTGCAGATTCTTCGAAAAGAGGGTTTCAAAACTGCTCTATGAAAAGTTATGTTCAACTCTGTTAGTTGAATGTAAACATCACAAAGAAGTTTATGAGAATGCATCTGCCTCGGTTTTCTGTGAAGATATTTCCTTTTCAACCATTGGCCTCAAAGCTTTCCAAAACTCCCCCGCAGATTCTACAAAAAGAGTGCCTCAAAGCTGCTCTATCAAAGAAAGGTTCAAATCTGCGCGTTGAGGCGCATATCACAAAGTACTTTCTGAGAATGCTTCTGTCTAGTTTTTATGTGAAGATATTCCCGTTTCCAACAAAGGCCTCAAAGCAGTCAAAATATACACTTGCAGATTCTACAAAAAGAGTGTTTTAAAACTGCTCTATGAAAAGGTATGTTCAACACTCTGAGTTGAATGCAAACATCACAAAGAAGTTTCAGGGAATGCTTCTGTCTAGTTTTTATGTGATGACATTTCCTTTTCCACCATAGGCCTCAAATATCTCCAAAAGTCCACTTTCAGATTCTACAAAAAGAGTGTTTCAAAAATGCTGTATCAAAAGAAAGGTTCAACTCTGAGTTTAATGCACACATCAAAAAGAACTTCCTGAGAATGCTTCTGTCGAGCTTTTATGTAAAGATATTCCCATTTCCAACGAAGGCCTCAAAGCAGTCCAAATATCCAATTGCAGATTCTACGAAAAGAGTATATCAAAACTGCTCTATGAAAAGGTGTGTTCAACTCTGTGAGTTGAATGCAAACATCACAAAGAAGTTTCTGAGAATGCTTCTGTCTAATTTTGACGTGAAGTTAATTCCTTTTCCACCATAGGCCTCAAAGCTCTCCAAATGTCCACTTGAAGACACCACAAAAAGAGTGTTTGAAAACTGCTCTATCAAAGGAAATGTTCAACTATGTGATTAGAAATCACACATTACAAATAAGTTTCTCAGAATGCTTCTGTCTAGTTTATATGAGAAGATATTCCCGTTTCCAATGAAGGCCTCAAAGCAGTCCAAATATCCACCTGCAGATTCTACGAAAAGAGTGTTTCAAATCTGCTCTATCATAAGAAAGGTTCAAATTGGTGAGTTGAATGCAGACATCACAAAGAAGTTTCGGAGAATGCTTCTGTCAAGTTTTCATGTGAGTATATTCCCGTTTCCAATGAAGGCCTAAAAGCAGTCAAAATATCCACTTGCAGATTCTACGAAAAGAATGTTTCAAAACTGCTCTATTAAAAGGTATGTTCAACTCTGTGAGTTGAATGCAAACATCACAAAAACGTTTCTGAGACTGCTTATGTCCAGTTTTTATGTGAAGATATTTCCTTTTACACCATAGGCTTCAAAGTTTTCCAAATGTCCACTTGCAGATACTACAAAAGGTGTGTTTCAAAACTGCTCTATCAAAAGAAAGGTTGAACTCTGTCAGCTGAATGCACACATCACAAAGAAGTTTCTGAGAATGCTTATGTCTTGTTTTTATGTGAAGATATTCCCTTTTCTAACGAAGGCCTCAAAGCAGTCCAAATATCCAATTGCACATGTTAGGAAAATAGTGTTTCAAAATTGCTCTATGAAAAGGTAATTTCAACTCTGTGAGTTCAATGCAAACATCACAAAGAAGTTTCTAAGAATGCTTCTGTCTAGTTTTTATGGGAATATATTTCCTTTTCCACCGTAGGTCTCAAAGCTCTCCTAATGTCCACTTGCAGATACTACAAAAAGATTGTTTCAAAACTGCTCTATCAAAAGAAAGGTTCAACTCTGTGAGTTGAAAACACACTTCACAAAGAAGTTTCTGAGAATGCTTTTGTCTGTTTTTTATGTGAATATGTTCCCATTTCTAACAAAATCCTCGAAGCAGTCCAAATAACCACTTGAAGATTCTATGACAAGAGTGTTTCAAAATTGCTCTATGAAAAGGTAATTTCAACTCTGTGAGTTGAATGCAAACATCACAAAGAAGTTTCTGAGAATGCTTCTGTCTGGTTTTTATGTGAAGATATTTCCTTTTCCACCATAGGCCTCAAAGCTCTCCAAATGTCCACTTGCAGATTCTACAAAAAGGGTGTTTCAAAACTGCTCTACCAAAAGAAATTTTCAACTCTTTGAGTTGAATACACACATCACAAAGTAGATTCTGAGAATGCTTCTGTCTAGTTTTTATGTGTAGATATTCCCGTTTCCAACGACGGCCTCAAAGCAGTCCAAATATCCACTTGCAGATTCTATGAAAAGAGTGTTTCAAACCTCCTCTATGAAAAGGTATGTTCAAATCTGTGAGTTGAATGCAAACATTACAAAGATGTTTCTGAGAATGCTTCTGTCTAGTTTTTATGTGAAGATATTTCCTTTTCCACCGTAGGCCTTAAAGCTCTCCAAATGTCCACTTGCAGATTCTACAAAAAGAGAGTTTCAAAACTGCTCCGTCAAAAGAAATGTTCAACACTGAGAGTTGAATGCACACATCACAAAGGAGTTTCTGAAAATGCTTCTGTCTAGTTTTTTGTAAAGATATTCCCATTTCCAACGATGACCTCAAAGCAGTCCAAATATGCACTTGCAGATTCAATGAAAAGAGTGTTTCAGAACTGCTCTATGAAAAGGTATGTTCAACCCTGTGTTGAACGTAAACATCACAAAGAAGTTTCTGAAAATGCTTCTGTCTAGTTCTTATGTGAAGATATTTCCTTTTCAGCCATAGGCCTCAAAGCTCTCCAAATGTCCACTTGCAGATTCCACAAAAAGAGTGTTTCAAAACTGTTATATTAAAAGAAAGGTTCGACTTTGTGAGTTGAGTGCACACATTACAAAGAAGTTTCTGAGAATGCTTCTCTAGTTTTAATGTGAAGATATTCCCGTTTCCAATGAAGACCTCAAAGGAGTCCAAATATCCACTTGCAGATTCTACAAAAAGAGTGTTTCAAAACTTCTTTATGAAAAGGTATGTTCAACTCCGTGTGTTGAATGCACACATCACAAAGAAGTTTCTGAGAATGCTTCTCTCTAGTTTTTATGTGAAGATATTCCCGTTTCCAACGAATGCCTCAAAGCAGTCCAAACATCCACATGCAGATTCTACGAAAAGAGTGTTTGAAAACTGCTCTATGAACAGGTATGTTCAACTCTGTGAGTTGAATTCAAACATCAAAAGAAGTTTCTGAGAATGCTTCTGACTAGTATTTCTGTGAAGATATTTGCTTTTCTACCATAGGCCTCAAAACTCTTCAAATGTCCACTTGCAGATACTACAAAAAGAGTGTTTCAAAACTGCTTTATCAGAAGAAAAATTCAACTCCGTGAGTTGAATGCAGATATCACAAGGAAGTATCTGCAAATGCTTCTCTCTAGTTTTTATGTGAAGACATTTCCTTTTCCACCATAGTTCTCAAAGCTCCCCAAATGTCCACTTGCAGATTCTACGAAGAGTGTTTCAAAACTGCTTTATGAAAGATATATTCAACTTTGTGAGTTGAATGCAAACATCACTACAAAGTTTCTGAGAATTATTCTGTCTGTTTTTTATGCGTAGATATTTCCTTTTCCACCATTGTCCTCAAAGTTCTCCAAATATCCACCTGCAGATTCTACAAAAAGAGTATTTCAAAACTGCTCTATCAAAAGAAAGTTTCAACTCTGTGAGTTGAATGCACACATCACAAAGAAATTTCTGAGCATACTGTTGTCTAGCTTTTATGTGAAGATATTCCCATTTCCAATGAAGGCCTCAAAACAGTCCAAATATCCACTTGCAGATTTTGCGAAAAGAGTGTGTCAAAACCGCTCTATGAAAAGGCATGTTCAACTCTGTGAGTTGAATGCAAACATCAAAAAGAAGTTTCTGAGAATGCTTCGGTCTGGTTTTTATGTGAAGATATTTCCTTTTCCACCACAGGCCTCAAAGCTATCCAAATGTCCCCTTGCAGATCCTACAAAAAGAGTGTTTCAAAACTGCTCTATCAATTGGAAGGGTCAACTCTGTGAGTTGACTGCACATATCACAAAGAAGTTTTTGAGAATGCTTCTGTCTAGTTTTTATGTGAAGATATTCCCGTTTCCAAGGAAGGCCTCAAAGCAGTCCTAATATCCACTTGCAGATTCTACGAAAAGAGTGTTTCAAAACTTCTGTATGAAAAGATATGTTCAACACTGTGAGTCGAATTCAGCCATCACAAAGTAGTTTCTGAGAATGCTTCTGTCTAGTTTTTATGTGAAGATATTTCCTTTCCACCATAGGCCTCAAAGCTCTCCAAATGTCCCCTTGCAGATCGTACAAAAAGAGTGTTTCAAAACTGCTCTATCAATGGAAGGGTCAACTCTGTGAGTTGACTGCACATATCACAAAGAAGTTTTTGAGAATGCTTCTGTCTAGTTTTTATGTGAAGATATTCCCGTTTCCAAGGAAGGCCTCAAAGCAGTCCTAATATCCACTTGCAGATTCTACGAAAAGAGTGTTTCAAAACTTCTGTATGAAAAGGTATGTTCAACACTGTGAGTCGAATTCAGCCATCACAAAGTAGTTTCTGAGAATGCTTCTGTCTAGTTTTTATGTGAAGATATTTCCTTTCCACCATAGGCCTCAAAGCTCTCCAAATATCCACTTGCAGATTCTACAAAATGAGTGTTTCAAAACTGCTCTATTAAAAGGTATGTTCAACTCTGTGAGTTGAACGCAAACATCACAAAGAAGTTTCTGAGAATGCTTCTGTTTAGTTTTTATGTGATGATATTTCCTTTTCCACCATGGGCCTCAAAGCTATCTAAATGTGCCCTGGCAGATTCTACAAAAAGAGTGTTTCAAAACTGCTCTATCAAAAGAAAGATTCAACTCTGTGACTTGAATGCACACATCACAAAGACTTTTCTGAGAATGCTTCGGTCTAGTTTTTATGTGAAGGTATTCCCGTTTACAACGTAGGCCTCAAAGGGGTCCAAATATCTACTTGCAGATTCTGCGAAAAGAGTGTTTCAAAACTGCTCTATGGAAAGGTATGTTCAACTTTGTGAGTTGAATGCAAACATTACAAAGAAGTTTCTGAGAATCCTTCTGTCTAGTTTTTATGTGTAGATATTTCCTTTCCACCGTTGGTCTCAAAGCTCTCCAAAAGTCCACCTGCAGATTCTAAAAAAATAGTGTTTCAAAACTGCTCTATCAAAAGGAATGTTCAAATCTGCTAGCTGAATGCACACATCTAGAAGAAGTTTCTCAGAATACTTCTGTCTAGTTTTTATTTGAAGATATTTCCGTTTCCATAGAAGGCCTCAAAGCAGTCAAATTATGCATTTCAAAATGGCTCTATGAAAACGTGTGTTAAACTCTGTGAGTTGAATGCACACATCACAAAGAAGTTTCTCAGAATGCTTCTGTCTAGTTTTTATGTGAAGATATTCCCTTTTCCGACGATGCCTCAAAGCAGTCCAAATATCCACTTGCAGATTATACAAAAACAGTGTTTCCAAACTGCTCTAACATAAGAAAGGTTCAAATCTGTGAGTTGAATGCAAACAACAAAAAGAAGTTTCTGAGAATGCTTCTGTCTAGTTTTTATATGAGGATA
This sequence comes from Homo sapiens, assembly GCF_000001405.40. Lineage (NCBI taxonomy): Eukaryota > Metazoa > Chordata > Mammalia > Primates > Hominidae > Homo > Homo sapiens. The sequence continues at coordinate 29,706,055 of NC_000020.11, forward strand.
TTCCCGTTTCCAACGAATGCTTAAAAGCAGTAAAAATATCCATTTGCAGATTCTACGAAAAGAGTGTCTCAAAACTGCTCTAAGAAAAGGTATGCTCAACTCTGTGAGTTTAATGCAAACATCACAAAGTAGTTTCTGAGAATGCTTTTGTCTAGTAGTTATGTGAAGTTATTTCTTTTTCCACCAAAGGTCTCAAAGCTTTTCAAATGTCCTCTGGCAGATTCTACAAAAAGAGTGTTTCAAAACTGCTCTATCAGAAGAAAGGTTCAACATTGTGAGTCAAATGACACACATCACAAAGAAGTTTCTTAGAATGCTTCTGTCTAGTTTTAATGTGAAGATATTACCGTTTCCAACGAAGGCCTCATAGCAGTACAGATATCCACTTGTAGATTCAACAAAAAATTTTTTCAAATGTGCTCTATGAATATGCATTTTCAACTCTGTGTGTTTACGGCAAACATCAAAAAGAAGTTTCTGAGAAAGCTTCTGTCTACTTTATATGTGAAGATATTTCCTTTTCCACCATAGGCCTCAAAGCTCTCCAAATGTCCACTGGCAGATTCTACAAAAAGAGTGTTTCAAAACTGCTCTGTCAAAAGAAAGGTTCAACTCTGTGAGTTGAATGCACACATCACAAAGAGGTTTCTCAGAATGCTTCTGTCTAGTTTTTATGTGAATATATTCCCGTTTCCAACGAAAGCCTCAAAGCAGTCCAAATATTCACTTGCAGATTCTACGAAAAGAGTGTTTCAAAACTGCTCTATGAAAAGGTATGTTCAACCTTGTGAGTTGAATGCAACCATCACAAAGAAGGTTCTGACAATGCTTCTGTCTAGTATTTATGTGAAGATAGTTCATTTTTCATCATAGGCCTCAAAGCTTTCAAAATGTCCACTTGCAGATTCTACAAAAAGAGTGTTCCAAAATTGCTCTATTAAAAGAAAGGTTCAACTCTGTGAGTTGAATGCACACATCACAAAGAAGACTCTCTGAGAATGCTTCTGTCTGGTTTTTTTGTGAAGATATTCCCATTTCCAACGAAGGCCTAAACAGAACAAATATCCACTTGCAGAAACTACGAAAAGAGTGTTTATAAACTGCTCTATAAAAAGGTATGTTCAACTCAGTGAGTTGAATGCAAACATCAAAAACAAGTTTCTGAGAATGCTTCTGTCAAGTTTTTATGTGAAGATATTTCCTTTTCCACCATAGTCCTCAATGCACTCCAAATGTCCAATTGTAGATTCAACAAAAAGAGTGCTTCAAAACTGCTCTGCCAATCAAAGGTTCAACTCTGTCAATTGAATGCACACATCAGAAAGAAGTTTCTGAGAATGCTTCTATCTAGTTTTTGTGAAGCTATTCCCGTTTCCAATGAAGGCCTAAAAGCAGTCCTAATATCCACTTGCAGATTGTACGAATAGAGTTTTTCAAGACTGCTCTATGAAAAGGTATGTTCAACTCTGTGAGTTGAATGCAAACATCACAAAGTAGTTTCTGAGAATGCTTCTGTCTAGTTTTTATGTGAATATATTCCCGTTTGCAAAAAAGGCCTCAAAGCAGTTGAAATATCCACTTTCAGATCCTACGAAAAGAGTGTTTCAAAACTGATCTATGAAAAGGTATGTTCAACTATGTGAGTTGAATGCAAACATCACAAAGATGGTTCTGAGAAGGCTTCTGTCTAGTTTTTATGTGAAGATATTTCCTTTTCCACCGCAGGCCTTAAAGCTCTTCAAATGTCCACTTGCAGACCCTACAAAAACAGTGTTTCAAAGCTGCTCTATCAAAAGAGAGGTTCAACCATGTGAGTTGAATTCACACATCACAAAGAAGTTTCTGAGAATTCTTCTTTCTAGTTTTTATGTGAACATATTCCCGTTTCCAAAGAAGGCCTCAAAGCAGTACAAATATGCACTTGCAGATTCTACGAATAGAGTGTTTCATAACTGCTCTATGAAAACGTATGTTCAACTCTGTGAGTTGAATGCAAACATCATAAAGAATTTTCTGAAAATGCTTCTGTCTGTTTTTTTGATGAAAATATTTCCTTTTCCACCATACGCCTTTAAGCTATCAAAATGTCCACTTGCAGATTCTGCAAAAAGAGTGTTTCAAAACTGCTCAATGAAAAGGTACGTTCAACTCTGTGAGTTGAAAGCAAACATCACAAAGAAGGTTCTGAGAATGCTTCTGTCTAGTTTTTATGTGAAGGTATTTCCTTTCCCACCACAGGCCTTAAAGCTCTCAAAATGTCCACTTGCAGATCCTACAGAAACTGTGTTTGAAAACTGCTCTATCAAAAGAAAGGTTCAACTCTCAGTTGAATGCACACATCACAAAGAAGTTTCTGAGAATACTTCTGTCTAGTTTTTATATGAAGATATTCCCGTTTCCAACGGAGGCCTAAAAGCAGTAAAAATATCCACTGGCAGAACCTACGAAAAGAGTGTTTCTAAACTGCACTTTGAAAAGTTATATTCAACTCTGTGAGTTGAATACAAACATCACAAAGAAGGTTCTGAGAATGCTTCTGTCAAGTTTTCATGTGAAGATGTTTCCTTTCCCACCACAGGTCTTAAAGATCTCGAAATATCCACTTGAAGATCCTACAGAAACAGTGTTTGAAAACTGCTCTATCAAAAGAAAGGTTCAACTCTGTTAGTTGAATGCACTCATCACAATGAAGTTTCTGAGAATGCTTCTATCTAGTTTTTATGTGAAGATATTTCATTTCCACCATAGGCCTCAATGGATTCCAAATGTCCACTTGCAGATACTACAAAAAGATTGTTTCAAAACTGCTCTATCTAAAGAAAGGTTCAACTCTGTGAGTTGAATGCACACATCACAAAGTAGTTTTTGAGAATGCTTCTATCTAGTTATTATGTGTAGATATTCCCGTTTCCAACGAAGGCCTCAAAGCAGTCCAAATATCCACTGGCAGATTATACAAAAAGAGTGTTTCAAAACTGCTCTATGAGGAGGAATTTTCAACTCTGTGAGTTGAATGCAAACATCGCAAAGAAGCTTCTGAGAATGCTTCTGTCTTGTTTCTTTGTGAAGATATTTCCTTTTCCACCATTGACCTCAAAGCTTTACAAATGTCCACTTGCAGATTCTACAAAAAGAGTGTTTAAAAACTGCTCTATCAAAAGAAAGATACAACTCTGTGAGTTGAATGCACACATCACAAAGAAGTTTCTGAGAATGCTTCTGTCTAGTTTTTATGTGAAGATATTCCCGTTTCCAACGAAGGCCTCCAAGCAGTCCAAATATCCACTTTCAGATTCTACGAAAAGAGAGTTTCAAACAGCTCTATGAAGCGGTATGTTCAACACTGTGTGTTGAATACAAACATCACAAAGAAGGTTCTGAGAATGCTTCTGTCCAGTTTTTATGTGAACATATTTCCTTTTCCACCATAGACCTCAATGCTCTCCAAATGTCCACTTGCAGATTCTACAAAAAGAGAGTTTCTAAACTGCTCTATCAGAGGAAAGGTTCAACTCCGTGAGCTGAATGCACACATCACAAAGAAGTTCATGAGATTGCTTCTGTCTAGTTTTTATTTGAAGATATACCCGTTTCTGTCGGAGGCCTCAAAGCAGTCAAAAATATCCACTTACAGATACTACAAAAAGAGTGTTTCAAAACTGCTCTACGAAAAGGTATACTCCTTTGTGTATACTCTGTAATGTTTGCATACAACTCCATGAGTTATATGCAAACATTACAGAGAAGTTTCTGAGAATGCTTCTTTCTACTTTTTATGTGAAGATATTTCCTTTTCCACCAAAGGCCTCAAAGCTCTTCAAATGTCCACTTGCAGACTCTACAAAAAGAGTGTTTGAAAACTGCTCTATAAAAAGAAAGGTTCAACTCCATGAGTTGAGTGCACACATCACAAAGAAGTTTCTGAGAATGGTTCTATCTAGTTTTTATGTGAAGATATTTCCTTTTCCACCATAGGCCTCAAAGCACTCCAAATGTCCACTTGTAGATTCTATAAAAAGAGTGTTTCAAAACTTCTCTATCAAAAGAAATGATAAATTCTGTGAGATGAATACACACATTCCTAAGAAGTTTCTGAGAATGCTTCTATCTACTTTTTATGTGTAGATATTCTCATTTCCAATGAAGGCCTCAAAGCCGTCCAAATATCCACTGGCAGATTCTACAAAAAGAGTGTTTCAAAACTGCTGTATTAAGAAGTACTTTCAGCTCTGTGAGTTGAATGCAAATATTGCAAAGAAATTTCTCAAAATGCTTCTGTCTGGTTTTTATGTGAAGATATTTCCTGTTCCACCACAGGCCTCAAAGCTTTCCAAATGTCCACTGGCAGATACTAAAAAAATAGTGTTTCAAAACTACTCTATAAGAAGAAAAGTTCACCTCTGTGATTCGAATGCACACATCACAAAGAATTTTTTGAGAATGCTTCTGTCTAGTTTTTATGTGAAGATATACCCGTTTCCAATGAAGGCCTCAAAGCAGTCCAAATATCCACTTGCAGATTCTATGAAAAGAGTGTTTCAAAACTGCTCTATGAAAAGGTATGTTTTACTCTGTGAGTTGAATGCAACCATCATGAAGAATTTCCTGAGAATTCTTCTGTCTACCTTTTATGTGAAGATATTTCCTTTTCCACCATAGACCTCAAAGCCCTTCAAATGTCCACTTACAGATTCTACAAAAAGAGTGTTTCAAAAGTGCTCGATCAAAAGAAAGATTCAAATCTGTGAGATGAATGCAAACATCACTAAGAAGTTTCTGATAATGCTTCTGTCTAGTTTTTATGTGAAGATATTCCCGTTTCCAACGAAGACCTCAAAGCAGTTCAAATATACACTTGCAGATTGTACGAAAAGAGTGTTTTCAAAACTGCTCTATGAAAAGGTATGTTCAACTCTGTGAGTTGAATGCAAACAGAATGCTTCTGTCTAGTTTTTATGTGAAGATATTTCCTTTTCTACCATAGGTCTCAAAGCTCTCCAAATGTGCACTTGCAGATTCTACAAAAAGAGTGTTTCAAAACTGCTCTGTAAAAAGAAAGGTTAAACTCTGTGAGTAGAATGCACACATAACAAAGAAGTTTCTGAGAATGCTTCTGTCTAGTTTTTATATGAAGTTATTCCCTTTTCCAATGAAGGCCTCAAAGCAGTCCAAATATCCACTTGCAGATTCTACAAAAAGAGTGTTTCAAGACTGCTCTATCAAAATAAAGTTTCAACCCGCTGAGTTGAATGCACACATCATAAAGAAGTTTCTTAGAATGCTTCTGTCTAGTTTTTACGTGAATATATTCCCGTTTCCAATGAAGGCCTCAAAGCAGTCCAAATATTCACTTGCAGATTCTACGAAAAGAGTGTTTCAAAACTGCTCTCTGAAAACGTATGTTCAACTCTGTGAGTTGAATGCAAATGTCAAAAAGTAGTTTCCGAGAATGCTTCTTTCAAGTTTTTATGTGAAGTTATTTCCTTTCAACCATAAGACTCAAAGCTCTCCAAATATCCACTGCAGATTCTGCAAAATGAGTGGTTCAAAACTGCTCTATCAAAAGAAAAGTTCAAAATTGTTAGTTGAATGCAGACATCACAAAGTAGTTTGTGAGCATGCTTCCGTCTAGTTTTTATATGTAGATATTCCCGTTTCCAACAAAGTACTCAAAGCAGTCCAAATATCCACTTGCAGATTCCATGAAAAGTGTCTTTCAAAACTGCTCTAAAAAAAGTTATGTTCAAATCTGTGAGTTGAATGTAAACACAGCGAAATTTCTGAGAATGCTTCTGTCTACTTTTTATGTGAATATATTTCCGTTTCCGCCAAAATGTTCACTTCTTGATTCTACAAAAAGAGTGTTTCAAAACTTGTCTATCAAAAGAAAGGTTAAACTCTGCGATTTTAATGCACACATCACAAAGAAGTTTCTGAGAAAGCTTCTGTCTAGTTTTTATGTGAAGATATTCCCGTTTCCAACGAAGGCCTCAAAGCAGTCCATATATCCACTTGTAGATTCTATGAAAAGCGTGTTTCAAAACAGCTGTATGAAAAGGCATATTCAACTCCATGAGTTGAATGCAAACATCACAAAAATGTTTCTGAGAATGCTTATGTCTGGTTTTTATATGAAGATATTTCCTTTTCCACCATACGCCACAAATCTTTCCAAATGTTCACTTGCATATTCTACAGAAAGAGTGTTTCAAAACTTCTCTATCAAAAGAGAGGTCAATTCTGTGATTTTAATACACACATCACAAAGAAGTTTCTGAGAAAGCTTCTGTCTAGTTTTTATGTGAAGATATTCCGTTTCCAATGAAGGCCTCAAAGCAGTCCAAATATCCACTTGCAGATTCTATGAAAAGAGTGTTTCCAAACTGCTCTATGAAAAGGTATGTTCAACTCTGTGAGTTGAATGAAAACATCACAAGGAAGTCTCTGAGAATGCTTCTTTCTAGTTTTTATGTGAAGATATTTCCTTTCAACCATAGGCCTCAAAGCTCTGCAAATGTCCACTGCAGATTCTACAAAATGAGTGGTTCAAAACTGCTCTACCAAAAGAAAGATTCAACTCTGTGAGTTGAATGCACACATCACAAAAAAGTTTCTGAGCATGGCTCTGTCTAGTTTTTGTACGTAGATATTCCCGTTTCCAAAGAAGTCTTCAAAGCAGTCCAAATATTCACTTGCAGATTCTACGAATAGAGTGTTTCAAAACTGCTCTATCAAAAGAAAGTTTCAACTCTCTGAGTTGAATGCATACATCACAACGAAGTTTCTGAGCATGCCTCTGTCTAGTTTTTGTACGTAGATATTCCCGTTTCCAAAGAAGTCCTCAAAGCAGTCCAAATATTCACTTGCAGATTCTACGAATAGAGTGTTTCAAAACTGCTCTATCAAAAGAAAGTTTCAACTCTCTGAGTTGAATGCATACATCACAACGAAGTTTCTGAGAATGCTTCTGTGTAGTTTTTATGTGAAGATATTCCCGTTTCCAGCAAAGGCCTCAAAGCAGTACAAATATCCACTTGCAGATTCTACAAAAAGAGTGTTTCAAAACTGCTCCATAAAAAAGTAAGTTAAATGCTGTGAGTTTAATGCAAACATCACAAAGAAGTTTCAGAGAATGCTTCTGTCTAATTTTTATGTGAAGATATTTCCTTTTCCACCATAAGCCTCAAAGCTCTCCAAATGTACAATTGCAGATTCTACAAAAATATTGTTTCAAAACTGCTCTATCAAAACAAAGGTTCAACTCTGTGAGTTGAATGCAAACATCACAAAGAAGTTTCTGAGAATGCTTCTGTCTGATTTTTATATGAAGATATTTCCATTTCCACCTTAGGCCTCAAAGCTTTCAAAATGTCCACTTGCAGATACTACAAAAAGAGTGTTTCAAAACTGATCTATCAAAAGAAAGGTTCAACTCTGTGAGTTGAATGCACACATCACAAAGAAGTTTCTGAGAATGCTTCTGTCTAATTTTTATGTGAAGATATTCCCGATTACAATGAAGGCCTCAATGAATTCTAAATATCCACTTGCAGATGCTACGAAAAGAGAGTTTGAAAACTGCTCTATGAAAAGGTATGTTCAAGTCTGTGAGGTGAATGCAAACATCACAAAGTAGGTTCTGAGAATGCTTATGTCTAGTTTTCATGTGAAGATATTTACTTTTCCACTATAGCCCTCAAACCTCTCCAAATGTCCACTTGCAGATCCTAAGAAAAAAGTGATTCAAAACAGCTCTATGAAGAAGTATGGTCAAATCTTTGAATTGAATGCAAATATCAGAAAGAAGTTTCGGAGAATGCTTCTGTCTATTTTTTATGTGAAGATATTTTCTTTTCCAACGTAGTCCTCAAAGCTTTCAAAACGTCTATTGCAGATTCTACAAAAAGAGTGTTTCAAAACTGCTCCATGAAAAGCTATGTTCAACTCTGTGAATTGAATGCACACATCACAAAGAAGTTTCAGAGAATGCTTCTGTCTAGTTTTTATGTAGATATTCCTGTTTCCAACGAAGGCCTCAAAGCAGTCCAAATAACCACTTGCAGATTCTACGGAAAGAGTTTTTCAAAACTGCTCTATGAAAAGGTATGTTGAATTCTGTGAGTTGAATGCAAACATGACAAAGAAGTTTCTGAGAATGCTTCTGTCTGGTTTTTATGTGAATCTATTTCCTTTCCACCATAAGCCTCAAAGCTCTACAAATGCCCATTGCAGATTCTACAAAATGAGTGTTTCAAAACTGCTCTATCAAAAGAAAGTTTCAACTCTGTGAGTTGAATGCACAAATCACAAGTTTCTGAGAATGCTTCTGTCTAGTTTTTATGTAGATATTCCTGTTTCCAACGAAGGCCTCAAAGCAGTCCAAATAACCACTTGCAGTTTCTATGAAAAGAGTTTTTCAAAACTGCTCTATGAAAAGGTATGTTGAATTCTGTGAGTTGAATGCAAACATGACAAAGAAGTTTCTGAGAATGCTTCTGTCTGGTTTTTATGTGAATCTATTTCCTTTCCACCATAGGCCTCAAAGCTCTACAAATGCCCATTGCAGATTCTACAAAATGAGTGTTTCAAAACTGCTCTATCAAAAGAAAGTTTCAACTCTGTGAGTTGAATGCACAAATCACAAGTTTCTGAGAATGCTTCTGTCTAGTTTTTATGTGAAGATATTCTTGTTTCCAACGAAGGCCTCAAAGCAGTCCAAATATCCACTGGCAGATTCCACGAAAAGAGTGTTTCAAAGCTGCTGTATGAAAAGGTATGTTCAACTCTGTGAGTTGAATGCAAGCATCAGAAAGAAGTTTCTGTGAATGCTTCTGTCTAATTTATATGTGAAGATATTTACTTCCACCATAGGCCTCAAAGCTCTCCAAATGACCACTTGTAGATTCTGCAAAATGAGTGTTTCAAAACTGCTCTATCAAAAGAAAGGTTCAACTCCGTGAGTTGAATACACACATCACAAAGAAGTTTCTGAGAATGCTTCTTTCTAGTTTTTATGTGAAGATATTTCCTTTTCCACCATAAGCCTCAAAGCATTCCAAATGTCCACTTGCAGATTCTACAAAAAGAGTGTTTCAAAACTGCTCTATCAAAAGAAAGTTTCAAATCTATGAGTTGAATGCACACATCACAAAGAAGTTTCTCAGAATGCTTCTATCTAGTTTTTAAGTGAAGATATTCCCATTTCAAATGAAGGCGTCAAAGCAGTCCAAATATCCACTTGCAGATTCCACGAAAAGAGTGTTTCAAAACTGCTCTGTGAAAAGGTATATTTAACGCTGTCGGTTGAATGCAAACATCACAAAGAAATTTCTGTGAATGCTTCTGTCTAGTTTTTGTGAATATATTTCGTTTTCCACCAAAGTCCTCACAGCTCTCCTAAAGTCTACTTGCAGATTCTACAAAAAGTGTGTTTCAAAACTGCTCCATTAAAATAAACTTTCAAATCTGTGAGTTCAATGTACACATCACAAAGAAGTTTCTGATAATGCTTCTGTCTAGTTTTTATGTGAAGATATTCTCGTTTCCAACGAAGGCCTCAAAGCAGTAAAAATATCCACTTGCAGATTCTACGAAAAGATTGTTTCAAAACTGCTCCATGAAAAGGCATGTTCAGCTCTGTGAGTTGAATGCAGACATCATAAAAATTTCTGAGAATGCTTCTGTCTAATTATTATGTGAAGATATTTCCTTTCCACCGTATGCCTCAAAGCTCTCCAAATGTCCACTTGTAGAATATTCAAAAACATTGTTTCAAAACTACTCTATCAAAAGATAGGCTCAACTCTGTGAGTTGAATGCAGACATCACAAAGAAGTTTCTGAGAATGCTTCTGTGTAGTTTTTATGTGAAGATATTCCCATTTCCAACGAAGGCCTCAATGCCATCAAAATATCCACTTGCAGATTCTACGAAAAGAATGTTTCAAAACTGCTCTATGAAAACGTAAGTTCACCTCTGTGTTTTGAAGGCAAAGATCACAAAGAAGTTTCTGAGAATGCTTCTATCTGGATTTTATGTGAAGATATTTTCTTTTCTACCATAGGTCTCAAAGTTTTCCAAATGTCCACTTGCAGATTCTACAAAAAGAGTGTTTCAAAACTGCTCTAACAAAAGAAAGTTTCAACTCTGTAAGTTGAATCCACACATCTCAAAGAAGTTTGTGAGAATGGGTCTGTCTAGTTCTTATGGGTAGATATTCCCGTTTCCAACGAAGGCCTCAAAGCAGTCCAAATATCCACTAGCAGATTCTGCGAAAAGAGTGTTTCAAAACTGCTCTATGAAAAGCTATGTTCAAATCTGTGATTTGAATGCAAACATCACAAAGAAGTTTCAGAGAATGCTTCTGTCTTGTTTTCATGTGAATATATTTCCTTTTCCACCATAGGCCTCGAAGCTCTCCAAATGTCCACTTGCACATACTACAAAAAGAATGTTTCAAAACTGCTCTATCATAGGAAAGGTTCAACTCTGTGAATTGAATGCACATATCACAAAGAAGTTTCTCAGAATTCTTCTGTCTAGTTTTTATGTGAAGATATTCCCATTTCCAACAAAGGCCTCAAAACAGTCTAAATACCCCCTTGCAGATACTGCGAAAAGAGTGTTTCAAAACTGCTCTGTGAAAAGGTATGCTCAACTCTGTGAGTTGATTGCAAACATCACACAGCAGTTTCTGAGAATGCTTCTGTCTGGTTTTCATTTGTAGATATTTCCTTTTCCACGATAGGTCTCAAAGCTCTCCAAATGTCCAATTGCAGATACTGGAAAATGAGAGTTTCAAAACTGTTCTATCAAAAGAAAGGTTCAACTGTCTGCGTTGAATGCACACATCACAAGGAAGTTTCTGAGAATGCTTCTGTCTAGTTTTTATGTAAAGATATTCTCTTTTACAACAAACACCTCAAACAGTCCAAATATCCAATTGCAGATTCTACGAAAAGAGAGTTTCAAAACTGCTCTATGAAAAGGTATGTTTAACGCTGTCGGTTGAATGCAAACATCACAAAGAAACTTCTGTGAATGCTTCTGTCTAGTTTTTATGAATATATTTCATTTTCCACCAAAGTCCTCACAGCTCTCCTAAAGTCCACTTGCAGATTCTACAGAAAGAGTGTTTCAAAACTGCTCCATTAAAAGAAAGTTTCAACTCTGTGGGTTCAATGCACACGTCACAAAGAAGTTTCTTAGAATGCTTCTAATTTTTAATTGAAGTTATTCCCTTTTTTAAAGAAGGCCTAAAAGAAGTTCAAATATCCACTTGCAGATCCTACGAAAAGAGTGTTTCAAAACTGTTCTATAAAAAAGTATGTTCAACTCCGTGAGTTGAATGGAAACATCACAAATAAGTTTCTGAGAATGCTTCTGTCTGGTTTTTATGTGAAGATATTTCATTTTCCACAATAGGCCTCAAAGTTCTCCAAATATCCACTAGCAGATCCTACAAAAAGAGTGTTTCAAAACTGCTCTATGAAAAGAAAGGTTCAACTCTGTGATTTGAATGCACACATCACAAAGAAGTTTCTGAGAATGCTTCTGTCTAGTTTTTATGTGAAGATTTTCCCATTTCCATAGAAGGTCTCAAAGCAGTCAAAATATCGACTTGCAGATTCTACGAGAAGAGTGTTTCAAAACTCCTCCATGAAAAGTTATGTTCAACTCTGTGATTTGAATGCACACATCACAAAGAAGTTTCTTTGAATGCTTCTTTCTGGTTTTTATATGAAGATATTTTCTTTTCAACCACAGGCCTCCAAGCTTTCCAAATGTCCACTTGCAGATTCTACAAAAAGGGTGTTTCAAAACTGCTCTAAAAAAAAGTTCAAATCTGTGAGTTGAATGCACGCATTACAAAGAAATTTCTGAGAATGCTTCTGTCTAGTTTTCATGTGAAGATATTCCCGTTTTCAACGAAGGCCTCAAAGCTGTAAAAATATCCTCTTGAAGGTTCTACGAAAAGAGCGTTTCAAAACTGCTCTATGAAAAGGTAAGTTCAACTCTGTAAGTAGAATGCAAACCTCACAAAGAAGTTTCTGAGAATGCTTCTGTCTGTTTTTATGTGAAGATATTTCCTTTTCCACGATGGGCCTCAAAGCTCTCCAAATGTACACTTGCAGGTTCTACAAAAAGTGTGTTTCAAAAGAGCTCTGTCAAAAGAAAGGTTCAGCTCTCTGAGTTGAATGCACACATCACAAAGAAGTTTCTGAGAATGCTTCTTTCTTGTTTTTCTGTGAAGATATTCCCGTTTCCATCAAAGGCCTCAAAGCAGTCCAAATATCCACTTGTAGATTCTACTAAAAGAGTGTTTCAAAACTGCTCTATGAAAAATTATGTTCAACTCTGTGAGTTGAATGCAAACATCACTAAGATGTTTCTCAGAATGCTTCTGTCTAGTTTTATGTGAAGATATATCCTTTTCCACAGTAGGCCTCAAAGCTTTCCAAATGTTCACTTGGAGATTCTACAAAAGAGTGTTCCAAAACTGCTCTATCAAAAGAAGTTTCATATCTGTGAGTTGACAGCACACATCACAAAGAAGTTTCTGAGAATGCTTCTATCTAATTTTTATGTGAAGATATTCCCATTTCCAACAAAGGCTTCAAAGCAGTCCAAATATAACCTTGCAGATACTATAAAAAGAGTGTTTCAAATCTGCTCTATGAAAAGGTATGTTCAACTCTGTGAGTTGAATGAAAACATCACAAAGAAGTCTGACAATGCTTTTGTCTAGTTTTTATGTGAAGATATTTCCTTTTTCCACCATAGGCCTCAAAGTGCTCCAAATGTCCACTTGGATATTGTACAAAAAGAGTGTTTCAAAACTGCTCTATCAAAAGAAAGGTTCAACTCTGTGAGTTGAATGCGCACATCACAAAGAAGTTTCTGAGAATGCTTCTGTCTAGTTTTAATGTGAAAATGTTTCCCTTTCAAACGAAAGCCTCAAAGCAGTCCAAATATCTACTTGCAGATTCAACAAAAAGAGTGTTTCAAAACTGCTCTCTTAAAAGGTATGTTTGACTCTGAGAGTTGAATGCAAACATCAAAAAGTAGTTTCTGAGAATGCTTCTCTCTTGTTTTTATGTGAAGATATATTCTTTTCCACTAAAGGCCTCAAAGCACTCCAAAGGTTCTCATGCAGATTCTACAAAATTAGTGTTTCAAAACTGCTCTATCAAGAGAAAAGTTCAACTCTGTGAGTTGAATGCACACATCACAGAGTCGTTTCTGAGAATGTTTCTGTCTAGTTTTTCTGTGACGACATTCCCGTTTCCAACCAAGGCCTCAAAGCAGTCCAAATATCCACCTGCAGATTCTACGAAAAGAGTGTTTCAAAACTGCTCTATGAAAAGGTGTGTTCAACTCTGAGAGTTGAATGCAAACATCACAAAGACATTTCTGAGAATGCTTCTGTCTAGTTTTTATGTGAAGATATTTCCGTTTCCAACAAAGTCCTCAAAGTGGTCCAAAAATCCACTTTCAGATTCTAAGAAAAGAGTGTCTCAAAACTGCTCTATGAAAAGGTATGTTCAACTCTGTGAGATGAATGCAAACATCACGAAGAAGTTTCTGAGAATGCTTCTGTCTGGTTTTTATGTGAAGATATTTCCTTTTCCACAATAGGCCTCAAAGCTCTACAAATGTCCACTTGCACATCCTACAAAAAGAGTGTTTCAAAGCTGCTCTATCAAAAGAAAGGTTCAACTCGGTGAGTTGAATGCACACATCTCAAATAAGTTTCTGAGAATGATTCTGTCTAGTTTTTATGTGAATATATTTCCGTTTCCAACGAAGGCCTCAAAGCAGTCCAAATATCCAATTGCAGATTCAACGAAAAGAGTGTTTCAAAACTGCTCTACGAGAAGATGTGTTCAACTATGTGAGTTGAATGCTAACATCACAAAGAAGTTTCTGAGAATGCTTCTGTCTAGTTTTTATGTGAAGATATATCCTTTTTCACCAAAGGCCTCAAAGCACTCCAAAGGTTCTCTTGCATATTCTACAAAAAGAGTGTTTCAAAACTGCTCTATCAAGAGAAAAGTTCAACTCTGTGAGTTGAATGCACACATCACAAAGCCGCTTCTCAGAATGCTTCTGTCTAGTTGTTATGTGACGACATTCCTATTTCCACCCAAGACCTCAAAGCAGTCCAAATATCCACCTGCACATTCTACGTAAAGAGTGTTTAATAACTGCTCTTTGAAAATGTGTGTTCAAATCTGTGAGTTGAATGCAAAAATCACAAAGAAGATTCTGAAAATGCTTCTGTCTGATTTTTATGTGAAGATATTTCCTTTTCCACCATACGCCTCAAAGCTCTCCAAATGTCCAATTGCAGGTTCTAGAAAAAGTTTGTTTCAAAACAGCTCTATCAAAAGAAATGTTCAACTCTGTGAGTTGAATGCAAACCTCACAAAGAAGTTTTTGAGAATGCTTGTGTCTAGTTTTACTGCAAGATATTTCATTTTCCAGAGTAGGCCTCTAAGCTCTCAAATGTCCACTTGGAGATTCTACAAAAAGAGTATTTCAAAACAGCTCTATCAAAAGAAAGATTCAAATCTGTGAGTTGAGTGCGCCCATCACAAAGGAGTTTCTGAGAATGCTTCTGTCTAATTTTTATGTGAAAATATTTTCTTTTCCACCATAGGCTTCATATCTTTCCAAATGTCCACTTGCAGATTCTACAAAAAGAGTGTTTCATAACTGCTCTATCAAAAGAAAGGTTCAAATCTGTGAGTTAAATGCACACATCACAATGAAGTTTCTGAGAATGCTTCTGCCTAGTTTTTATGGGAAGACATTCCCGTTTCCAAGGAAGGCCTCAAAGCAGTCCAAATATCCAATTGCAGATTCTACGAGAAGTGTGTTTCATAACTGCTCTATGAACAGGTAAGTTCAACTCTGTGAGTTGAATGCAAACATCACAAAGAAATTTCTGAGAATGCTTCTGTCTGGATTTTATGTGTAGATATTTACTTTTCCACCATAGGCCTCAAAGCTCTCCAAATGTCCCCTTGCAGATTCTACAAAAAGAGTGTTTCAAAACTGCTCTATCAAAAGAAAGGTTCAACTCTGTGACTTGAATGCACATATCACAAATAAGTTACTTTGAATGCTTCCGTCTTGTTTTTATGTGAAGATATTCCCGTTTCCAATGAAGGCCTCAAAGCATTCCAAATATCCACTTACAGATTCTACTAGAAGAGTGTTTCATAACTGCTCTATGAACAGGTAAGTTCAACTCTGTGAGTTGAATGCAAACATCACAAAGAAGTTTCTGAGAATGCTTCTCTCTAGATTTTCTGTGTAGATATTTACTTTTCCACCATAAGCCTCAAAGCAATCCAAATATACACTTGAAGGTTATACGAAAAGAGTGTTTTGAAACTGCTCTATTAAAAGGTATGTTCAACTCTATGAGTTGAATGCACACATCACAAAGAAGTTTCTGAGAATGCTTCTGTCTACTTTTTATGTCAAGATATTCCCTTTTCCAACGAAGGCCTCAAAGCAGTCCAAATATCCACTTGCAGATTCTACGAAGAGAGTGTTTCAAAACTGCTCTATGAAAAGAAAGGTTCAAATCTGTGAGTTGAGTGCACACATCACAAAGAAGTTTCTGAGAATCCTTTTGTCTAATTTTTATGTGAAGATATTCCCGTTTCCAAAGAAGGCCTCAAAGCAGTTTAAATATACACTTTCATATTCTACGAAGAGTGTTTCAAAACTGCTCTATGAATAGGTATGTTCAACTCTGTGAGTTGAATGCACATATCACAAAGGAGTTTCTGAAAATGCTTCTGTCTAGTTTTTATGTGAAGATATTCCCATTTCCAACGAAGGCCTCAAAGTAGTCCAAATATCCACTTGCATATACTACGAATACAGTGTTTCAAAACTGCTCTATGAAAAGAAAGGTTCAAATCTGTGAGTTCAATGCACACATCATAAATAAGTTTCTGAGAATCCTTTTGTCTAATTTTTATGTGAAGATATTCCCGTTTCCAACGAAGGCCTCAAAGTAGTCCAAATATCCACTTGCATATACTACGAAAAGAGTGTTTCAAAACTGCTCTATGAAAAGATATGTTCACCTTTGTGAGTCGAATGCAAACATCAAAAAGAAGTTATTCAGAATGCTTCTGTCTAGTTTTTATGTGTAGATATTTCGTTTTCCACCATAGGCCTCAAAGCTCTCCAAATGTCAAATTGCAGATTCTACAAAAAGAGTGTTTCAAAACTACTCTATCAAAAAAAGTTTTAGCTCTGTGAGTTTAATGCACACATCACAAAGGAGGTTCTGAGAATGCTTCCGTCCAGTTTTTATTTGAAGATCTTCCCGTTTCCAACGAAGTCCTCAAAGTGGTGCAAATATCCACTTGCAGATTCTAAGGAAAGAGTGTTTTAAAACTGCTCTATGAAAATGTATGTTCAACTCTGTGAGTTGAATGCAATCATCACAAAGAAGTTTCTGAGAATGCTTCTGTCTAGTTTTTATGTGAAGATATTTCCTTTTCCACTATAGGCCTCAAAGCTTTCCAAATGTCCACTTGCAGATTCTACAAAAAGAGGATTTCAAAACTGCTCTATCAAAAGAAAGAAAGGTTCAGCTCTGTGAGTTAAATGCACACATCACAAAGATGTTTCTGAGAATGCTTCTGTCTAGTTTTTATGTGAAGATATTCCCATTTCCAACGAAGACCTCAAAGCAGTCCAAACACCCACTTGCAGATTCTACAAAAAGAGAGTTTCAAAACTGCTCTATGAAAAGGTATGTTTAAATCTATAAGTTGAATGAACACATCACAGAGAAGTTTCTGAGAATGCTTGTGTCCAGTTTTTATGAGAAGATATTCCTGTTTCCCATGGAGGCCTCAAAGCAGTCCAAATGTCCACTTGCAGATTCTAAGAAAAGAATTTTTCAATACTGCTTTATAAAAAGTTATATTCAACTCTGTGAGTTTAATGCAAACATCACAAAGAAGTTTCTGAGAATGCTTCTGTCTTGTTTATATGTGAAGGAGAAATAAAATTCTTTTCAGACAAGCAAATGCTGAGAGATTTTGTCACCACCAGGCCTGCCCTAAAAGAGCTCCTGAAGGAAGTACTAAACATGGAAAGGAACAGCCGGTACCAGCTGCTGCAAAATCATGCCAAAATGTAAAGACCATCGAGACTAGGAAGAAACTGCATCAGCTAACGAGCAAAATACCAGCTAACATCATAATGACAGGTTCAAATTCACACATAACAATATTAACTTTAAATGTAAATGGACTAAATGCTCCAATTAAAAGACAGAGACTGGCAAATTGGATAAAGAGTCAAGACCCATCAGTGTGCTATATTCAGGAAACCCATCTCACGTGCAGAGATAAACATAGGCTCAAAATAAAAGGGTGGGGGAAGATCTACCAAGCAAATGGAAAACAAAATAAGGCAGGGGTTGCAATCCTAGTCTCTGATACAACAGACTTTAAACCAACCAAGATGAAAAGAGACAAAAAGGCCATTACATAATGGTCAAGTGATCAATTCAACAAGAAGAGCTAACTATCCTAAATATATATGGACCCAAAACAGGAGCACCCTGATTCATAAAGCAAGTCCTGAGTGACCTACAAAGAGACTTAGACTCCCACACATTACTAATGGGAGACTTTAACACCTCACTGTCAACATTAGACAGATGAATGAGACAGAAAGTCAAGAAGGATACCCAGGAATTGAACTCAGCTCTGCACCAAGGGGACCTAATAGACATCTACAGAACTCTCCACCCCAAATCAACAGAATATACATTTTTTTAAGCACCACACCACACCTATTCCAAAATTGACCACATACTTGGAAGTAAAGCTCTCCTCAGCAAATGTAAAAGAACAGAAATTATAACAAACTATCTCTCAGACCACAGTGCAATCAAACTAGAACTCAGGATTAAGAATCTCACTCAAAACCGCTCAACTACATGGAAACTGAACAACCTGCTCCTGAATGACTACTGGGTACATAACGAAATGAAGGCAGAAATAAAGATGTTCTTTGAAACCAACGAGAACAAAGACAAAACATACCTGAATCTCTGGGATGCATTCAAAGCAGTGTGTAGAGGGAAATTTATAGCACTAAATGCCCACCAGACAAAGCAGGAAAGATCCAAAATTGATACCCTAACATCACAACTAAAAGAACTAGAAAAGCAAGAGAAAACACATTCAAAAGCTAGCAGAAGGCAAGAAATAACTAAAATCAGAGCAGAACGGAAGGAAATAGAGACACAAAAAACCCTTCAAAAAATTAATGCATCCAGGAGTTGGTTTTTTGAAGGATCAACAAAATTGATAAACCGCTGGCAAGACTAATAAAGAAAAAAAGAGAGAAGAATCAAATAGATGCAATAAAAAATGATAAATGGGTTATCACCACTGATCCCACAGAAATACAAACTATCATGAGAGAATACTACAAACACCTCTATGCAAATAAACTAGAAAATCTAGAAGGAATGGATAAATTCCTCGACACATACACTCTCCCAAGACTAAACCAAAAAGAATTTGAGTCTCTGAATAGACCAATAACAAGATCTGAAATTGTGGCAATAATCAATAGCTTATCAACGAAAAAGAGTCCAGGACCAGATGGATTCACAGCCGAATTCTACCAGAGGTACAAGGAGGAACTGGTACCATTCCTTCTGAAACTATTCCAATCAATAGAAAAAGAGGGAATCCTCCCTAACTCATTTTATGAGGCCAGCATCATCCTGATACCAAAGCCGGGGAGAGAAACAACCAAAAAAGAGAATTTTACACCAATAACCTTGATGAACATTGATGCAAAAATCCTCAATAAAATACTGGCAAACCGAATCCAGCAGCACATCAAAAAGCTTATCCACCATGATCAAGTGGGCTTCATCCCTGGGATGCAAGGCTAGTTCAATATATGCAAATCAATAAATGTAATCCAGCATATAAACAAAACCAAAGACAAAAACCACATGATTATCTCAATAGATATAGAAAAGGCTTTGAGAAAATTCAACAACTGTTCATGCTAAAAACTCTCCATAAATTAGGTATTGATGGGATGTATTTCAAAATAGTAAGAGCTATCTATGACAAACCCACAGCCAATATCATACTGAATGGGCAAAAACTGGAAGCATTCCCTTTGAAAACTGGCACAAGACAGGGATGCCCTCTCTCACCACTCCTATTCAACATAGTGTTGGAACTTCTGGCCAGGGCAATTAGGCAGGAGAAGTAATTAAAGGGTATTCAATTAGGAAAAGGGGAAGTCAAATTGTCCCTGTTTGCAGATGACATGATTGTATATCTAGAAAACCCCATTGTCTCAGCCCAAAATCTCCTTAAGCTGATAAGCAACTTCAGCAAAGTCTCAGGATACAAAATCAATGTACAAAAATCACAAGCATTCTTATACACCAACAACAGACAGAGAGCCAAATCATGAGTGACCTCCCATTCACAATTGCTTCAAAGAGAATAAAATACCTAGGAATCCAACTTACAAGGGATGTGAAGGACCTCTTCAAGGAGAACTACAAACCACTGCTCAAGGAAATAAAAGAGGATACAAACAAATGGAAGAACATTCCATGCTCATGGGTAGGAAGAATCAATATTGTGAAAATGGCCATACTGCCCAAGGTAATTTACAGATTCAATGCCATCCCCATCAAGGTATCAATCACTTTCTTCACAGAATTGGAAAAAACTACTTTAAAGTTTATATGGAACCAAAAAAGAGCCCACATCGCCAAGTCAATCCTAAGCCAAAAGAACAAAGCTGGAGGCATCACACTACCTGACTTCAAACTATACTACAAGGCAACAGTAACCAAAATAACATGATACTGGTCCCAAAACAGAGATATAGATAAATGGAACGGAACAGAGCCCTCAGAAATAATGCCACATATCTACAACTATCTGATCTTTGACAAACCTGAGAAAAACAAGCAATGGGGAAAGGATTCCCTATTTAATAAATGGTGCTGGGAAAACTGGCTAGCCATATGTAGAAAGCTGAAACTAGATCCCTTCCTTACACCTTATACAAAAATCAATTCAAGATGGATTAAAGACTTAAATGTTACACCTAAAACCACAAAAACCCTAGAAGAAAACCCAGGCATTACCATTCAGGACATAGGCATGGGCAAGGACTTCATGTCTAAAACACCAAAAGCAATGGCAACAAAAGACAAAATTGACAAATGGGATCTAATTCAACTAGAGTTTCTGCACAGCAAAAGAAACTACCATCAGAGTGAACAGGCAACCTACAAAATGGGAGAAAATTTTTGCAGCCTACTCATCTGACAAAGGGCTAATATCCAGAATCTACAATGAACTCAAACAAATTTACAAGAAAAAAACAAACAACCCCATCAAAAAGTGGGCAAAGGACATGAACAGACACTTCTCAAAAGAAGACATTTATGCAGCCAAAAAACACATGAAAAAATGCTCACCATCACTGGCCATCAGAGAAATGCAAATCAAAACCACAATGAGATACCATCTCACACCAGTTAGAATGGCAATCATTAAAAAGTCAGGAAACAACAGGTGCTGGAGAAGATGTGGAGAAATAGGAACACTTTTACACTGTTGTTGGGACTGTAAACTAGTTCAACCATTGTGGAAGTCAGTGTGGTGATTCCTCAGGGATCTAAAACTAGAAACACCATTTGACCCAGCCATCCCATTACTGGGTATATACCCAAAGGACTATAAATCGTGCTGCTATAAAGACACATGCACATGTATGTTTATTGCAGCATTATTCACAATAGCAAAGACTTGGAACCAACCCAAATGTCCAACAATGATAGACTGGATTAAGAAAATGTGGCACATATACACCATGGAATACTATGCAGCCATAAAAAATGATGAGTGCATGTCCTTTGTAGGGACACGGATGAAATTGGAAATCATCATTCTCAGTAAACTATTGCAAGAACAAAAAACTAAACACCACATATTCTCACTCATAGGTGGAATTGAACAATGAGAACACATGGACAACAGGAAGGGGAACATCACACTCTGGGGCTGTTGTGGGGTGGGGGGAGGGGGAGGGATAGCATTGGGAGATATACCTAATGCTAGATGACGAGTTAGTGGGTGCAGCGCACCAGCATGGCACATGTATACATATGTAAGTAACCTGCACATTGTGCACTTGTACCCTAAAACTTAAAGTATAATAATAATAATAAAAAAAGAATGGTTTAACTCTGGGAGAAGAATGCACACATGAAAAAGAAGTTTCTCAGAATGCCTCTGTCTAGTTTTTATGTTAAGATATTTGTTTTTCACCTTAGGCCTCAAACTGCCCAGAAATATCCCTTTGCAGATTGTACAAAAAGATGGTTTCCAAACTGCTCAATGAAAACAAGGGTTCAACACTGTGACATGAATATGCACATCACAAAGAAGTTTTTCAGAAAGCTTCTGTTTAGTTTTTAAGTGAAGATATTTCCTTTTTCACCATAGGCCTCAAAGTGCTCCAAATATCCTTTTGCAGAACCTAAAAAAAAAAGAGTTTCCAAACTGTTCAATTAAAAGAAATCTGTGAGAAGAAAGCACACATCACAAAGAAGTTTCTCATAATGCTTCTGTCTACTTTTTTTGTGAAGATATTTCCTATATCACCATAGGCCTCAAAGGTCTCAAAAATATCCCTTTGCAGACTGTACAAAAACACAGTTTTCAAACTGCTCCATGAAAAGAAAGTTTCAGATCTGTGAGATGAATGCACACATAATAAATTACTTTCTCATAATGCTTTGATCTAGTTTTTATGTGAAGATATTTCTTTTTCACCATAGACATCAAACCATTCAGAAGTATCCCTTTGTAGATTGTACAAAAAGACGGTTTCCAAACTGCTCAATCAAAAGAAAGGTTCAAACATGTGAGTTGAGTGCACAGATAACAAAGAAGTTTCTCAGAAATCTTCTGTCTTGTTTTTATGTGAAGATATTTCATTTCTCAACATAGGCCTCAAAGCAATCCAAATAGCCATTTGCAGATTCTACAAAAAGACTGTTTCCCAACTGATCAATCAAAACAAATTTTTAGCTCTCTGAGATGAAAGCACACATCACAAAAAAGTTACTCAGATAGCTTCTCTCTAGTTTGTATGTGAAGATATTTCCTATTTCACCTGATGCCATAAAGGGCTCACACATACCCCTTTGAAGGTTCTACAAAAAGACTGTTTCCAAACTGCTTAATCAAAAGAAAGGTTCAACTCTGTGAGATGAATGGACACGTCACAAGGAAATTCTCAGACTGACTCTGTCTAGTTTTTACGTGAAGATATTTCTCTTTCACCATAGGCCACAAATGGATCAGAATTATCCCTTTGCAGATTGTACAATAAGCCTCTTTCCAACCTTTTCAATCAAAAGAAAGGTTCAACTCTGTGAGATGAATCCACACATCACAAGGAAGTTTCTCAGAAAGCTTCTGTTTAGTTTTTATGTGAAGATATTTCGTTTTCCACCATGGGTCTCAAAGCACTCCAAATATCCATTTGCAGATTCTAGAAAAAGAGTGTTTCCAAAGTTCTCAATCAAAAGAAAGTTTCAATTCTGTGAGATGAAAGCACACATCACAAACAAGTTTCTTAGAAAGCTTCTGTCTAGTTTTTATGTGAAGATATTTCACATTTCACCATAGTACTCAATGGGCTCTGAAATATCCCTTTGCAGATTCTACAGAAGGACTGTTTCCAAACTGCTCAATCCAAAGAAAGTTTCAACTCTGTGAGATGAATGCATACATCACAAAGAAGTTTCTCAGAATGCTTCTGTCTAGTTTATATGTGAAGAAAATTCCTACTTCACCATAAGCAATAAAGGGCTCACAAATATTTTTTGCAAATTCTACAAAAAGACTTTTTCCAAACTGCTCAATCCAAAGAAAGGTTCAACTCTGTGAGATGAATGGACACATCACAAAGAAGTTTCTCAGAATGCATCTGTCCAGTTTTTATGTGAAGATATTTCTTTTTCACTCTAGGCCTCGATGGGCTCAGAAATATCCCTTTGCAGATTCTAAAAATGGACTGTTTCCAAACTGCTCAATCTAAAGAAACGTTCACCTGTGTGAGTTGAATGCACACATCACAGAGAAGTTTCTCAGCATGCTTCTGTCTAGTTTTTATGTGAAGGTATTTCCTTTTTCACCATAGGCCTCAAACCACTC
This sequence comes from Homo sapiens, assembly GCF_000001405.40. Classification (NCBI taxonomy): domain Eukaryota; kingdom Metazoa; phylum Chordata; class Mammalia; order Primates; family Hominidae; genus Homo; species Homo sapiens. The sequence continues at coordinate 29,729,325 of NC_000020.11, forward strand.
ACAAATATCCCTTTGCAGATTCTACAAAATGAATTGTTGTCAAACTGCTCAATGAAAAGCAAGGTCCAAATCTGTGAGATGAAAGCATGCATCACAAAGAAGTTTCTCAGAAAGTTTATGTCTAGTTTTTATATGCAGATATTTCCTTTTTCACCATAGGCCTCAAAGCACTCCAAATATTCGTTTGCAAGTTCTACAAAAAGACTGTTTCCAAACTGCTCAATCAAAAGAGAGGTTCAACTCTGTGAGGTGAACGCACACAGCACAAAGTAGTTTTTCAGAAACCTTCTGTCTAGTTTTTATGTAAAGACATTTCCTATTTCACCATAGGCCCCAATGGGTTCACAAATATCCCTTTGCAGATTCTACAGAAGGACTGTTTCCAAACTTCTCAATCCAAGGAAAGTTTCAACTCTGTGATGTGAATGCAGACATCACAAAGAAGTTTCTCAGAATGCTTCTGTCTAGTTTTTATGTGAAGATATTTCCTGTTCACCATAAGCCTAAAATACTGCAAATATCCATCTTCAGATTCTACAAAAAGACTGTTTCCAAACTGCTCAATCAAAAGAAAAGTTCAACTCTGTGAGAGGAAAACATACATCACAAAGAAGTTTCTCAGAAAGCTTCTGTTTAGTTTTTTTTTGTGAAGATATTCCCTATTTCACCATAGGCCTGAAAGGGCTCACAAATATCCTTTTGCATATTCTACAAAAAGACTGCTTCCAAACTGCTCAATCAAAAGAGAGGTTCAACTCTGTGTGATGAATGCACACATTACAAAGAAGTTTCTCAGAAAGCGTCTGTTTAGCTTTCATGTGAAGATATTTCCTCTTTCACCATAGGCCTCAATGGGCCCAGAAATATCCCTTTGCAGATTCTATGAAAGGACTGTTTAGAAAACTGCTCAATCTAAAGAAAGTTTCAGCTCTGTGAGATGAATGCACACATCATAAACAAGTTTCTCACAATGGATCTGTCGGCTTTTTATGTGAAGATATATTCTTTTTAACCATAGGCCTTAATCCACTCATGAATATTCCTCTGCAGATACTACAAAAAGACTGTTTCCAAACTGCTGCATCCAAAGAAATGTTCATCTCTGTGAGATGAATACACACATCACAAAGAAGTTTCTCAGAATGTTTCTGTCTGGTTTTCATTTGAAGATATTTCCTTTTTCACCATAGGCCTCAAAGTGTTCCAAATATCCATTTACAGACTCTACAAAAAGAGTGTTTCCAAAGTGCTCATTCAAAAGATAGGTTCACCTCTGTGAGATGAAAGCACACATCACAAAGTAGTTTCTCAGAAAGCTTCTGTCTAGTTTTTATGTGAAGATATTTCCTTTTTCACCATAGGCCATAAAGGGCTCACAAATATTTTTTGCAAATACTACAAAAAGACTTTTTCCAAACTGCTCAATCCAAAGAAAGGTTCAACTCTGTGAGATGAATGGACACATCACAAAGAAGTTTCTCAGAATGCTTCTGTCCAGTTTTTATGTGAAGATATTTCTTTTTCACCCTAGGCCTCAATGGGCTCAGAAATATCCCTTTGCAGATTCTAAAAAAGGACTGTTTCCAAATTGCTCAATCTAAAGAAAGGTTCACCTCTGTGAGTTGAATGCACACATCACAGAGAAGTTTCCCAGAATGCTTCTGTCTAGTTTTTATGTGAAGGTATTTCCTTTTTCACCATAGGCCTCAAACTGCTCACAAATATCCCTCTGCAGATACAACAAAAGGACTGTTTCCAACCTGCTAAATCAAAAGCTAGCCTCAACAACATGAGATGAATGCACACGTCACAAAGAAGTTTCTCAGAATGCTTTCATCTAGTTTTTATGTGAAGATATTTCCTTTTTCACCATAGGCCTCAAAACACTCCAAACATCCATTTGCAGATTCCACAAAAAGACTGTTTCCAAACTGCTCAATCAAAAGAAAGGTTCAACTCTGTGAGATGAAAGCACACATCAAAAAGAAGGTTCTCAGAAAGCTTCTGTCTAGTTTTTATTTAAGGATATTTCCTATTTCACCACAGGCCTCAAAGGAATCAAAAATATCCCTTTGCAGATTCTACAAAAAGACTTTCTGAACTGCTCAATGAAAAGAAAGTTTCAAATCTGTGAGGTGAATGCACACATAAAAAAGAAGTTTCTCAGAATGCTTCTGTGTAGTTTTTATGTGAAGATATTTCCTTTTTCACCATAGGCCATAAAGGGCTCACAAATATTTTTTGCAAATACTACAAAAAAACTTTTTCCAAACTGCTCATTCCAAAGAAAGGTTCAACTCTGTGAGATGAATGGACACATCACAAAGAAGTTTCTCAGAATGCATCTGTCCAGTTTTTAATGTGAAGATATTTTTTTTCACCCTAGGCCTCAATGGGCTCAGAAATATCCCTTTGCACATTGTGTAAAAAGACTGTTTCCAGACTGCTCAATGAAAAGAAAGATTAATCTCTGTGAGATGAATGCACACATAAAAAATAAGTTTCTCAGAATGCTTCTGTATAGTTTTTATGTGAAGATATTTTATTTTTCACCATAGGCCTTTAACTGTTCACAAATATCCCTCTGCAGATACTACAAAAAGACTTTCTCCAAACTGCTCCAAGAAAAGTAAAGTTCAACTCTGTGAGATGTAGGCACACATCACAAGGAAATTTCTCAGAATGATTCTGTCTAGTTTTTATGTGAAGATAATTCTTTTTCCCCATAGGCATCAAATGGCTCAGAAATATCCCTTTTCAGGTTGTACAAAAAGATGGTTTCCAATCTGCTCAATCAAAAGAAAGGATCAGCTCTGTGATATGAATCCACACATCACAAAGAAGTTTCTCAGAAAGCTTCTTTTTAGTGTTTTTGTGAAGATAATTCCTTTTTCACCATAGGCCTAAAAGCGCTGCAAATATCCATTTGCGGATTCTACAAAAAGACTGTTTCCAAACTGTTCAATCAAAAGAAAAGTTCATCTCTGTGAGATGAAAGCACAAATCACAAAGCATTTTCTCAGAAAGATTCTGTCTTATTTTTATGTGAAGTTATTTCCTATTTCACCATAGTCTGTAAAGGGCTCACAAATATCCGTTTGCATATTTAAAAAAAAGACTGTTTCCAAACTGCTCAAACAAAAGAAAGGTTCAACCCTGTGAGGTGAATGCACATATCAGAAACAAGTTTCTCAGAATGCTTCTGTCTAGTTTTTATGTGAAGAAATTTCTTTTTCACCATCGGCCTCAAATGGCTCAGAAATATCCTTTTGCAGATTTTACAAAAAGACGTTTCCAAACTGCTCAATCAACAGAAAGATTCAACTCTGTGAGATGAATGCACACATCACAAAGAAGCTTCTCAGAAAGCTTCTGTTTTGTTTGTATTTGAAGATATTTCCTTTTTCACCATAGGCCTCAATGGGCTCAGAAATATCCCTTTGCAGATTCTACAAAAGGATTGTTTAGAAAACTGCTGAATCCAAAGAAAGTTTCAACTCTGTGAGATGAATGCACACATCACAAAGAAGTTCCACAGAATTCATCTGTCTAGTTTTTATGTGAAGGTATTTCTTTTTTGACCATAGGCCTCAAAGCACTCCAAATACCCATTTGCAGATTCTACAAAAAGAGTTTTTCCAAACTGCTCAATCAAAAGAAAGGTTCAACTCTGTGACACGGAAGCCCACGTCACAAAGAAGTTTCTCAGAATGCTTCTGTCTAGTTTTTTTGTGAAGATGTTTCCTATTTCACCTTGGGCCATATAGGGCTCAAAAATATTTTTTGCAGATTCTACCAAAAGACTGTTTCCAAACTGCTCAATCCAAAGAAAGTTTTAACTCTGTGAGATGAATGGACTCATCACAAAAAAGTTTATCAGAATGCTTCTGTCTAGTTTTTATGTGAAGACATTTCTTTTTCACCCTAGGCTTCAATGGGCTCAGAAATATCCCTTTGCAGATTCTACAAAAGGACAGTTTCCAAACTGCTCAATCAAACAAAGGTTCAACACTATGAGATGAATGCACACATCACAGAGATGTTTCTCACAATGCTTCTATTTTTTATGTGAAGGTATTTCCTTTTTCACAATGGGCTTCAAAGCACTCCAAACATCCATTTACTGATTCCACAAAAAGACTGTTTCCAAGCTGCTCAATCAAAGAAAGGTTCAACTCTATGAGATGAAAGCACACATCACAGAGATGTTTCTTACAATGCTTCTGTCTATTTTTTATGTGAAGGTATTTCCTTTTTCACCATGGGCCTCAAAGTGCTCCAAGCATCCATTTGCTGATTCCACAAAAAGACTGTTTCCAAACTGCTCAATCAAAAGAAAGGTACAACTCTGTGAGTTGAAAACACGCATCACAAAGAAGTTTCTCAGAAAGCTTCTGTCTAGTTTTTTTGTGAGGATATTTCCTGTTTCACCGTGGGCCATAAAGCGCTCCAAAATATTTTTTGCAGATTCCACAAAAAGACTGTTTCCAAATTGCTCAATGAAAAGAAAATTTCAACTCTGTGAATTGAAAGCACACATCACAAGGAAATTTCTCAGAATGTACCTTTCTAGTTTTTTGTGAAGATATTTCCTTTTTCACCACAGGCCTCAAAGCACTGAAAGTATCCATTTGCAGATTCTACCAAAAGACTGTTTACAAACTGCTAAATCAAAAGAAAGTTTCAGCTCTGTGATATGAATGCACGCATCACAAAGAAGTTTCTCAGAAAGCTTCTGTTTAGTGTTTATCTGAAGAAATTTCCTTTTTCACCATAGGCCTCAAAGCACTCCGAATATGCATTTCCAGATTCTATAAAAAGTCTGTTTCCAAACTGCTCAATGAAAAGAAAGGTTTGACTCTGTGAGATGAAAGCACATATCACAAAGAAGTTTCTCAGGATGTTTCTTTCTAGTTTTTTTGTGAAGATATTTCCTCTTTCACTATAGTCCTCAAAGTGCTCCAAATATCCATTTGCAGATTATACAAAAAGACTGTTTACAAACGGCTCAATCAAAAGAAAGTTTCAACTCTGTGAGATGAATGCATGCATAACAAAGTAGTTTCTCAGAAAGCTTCTGTTCAGTTGTTTTGTGAAGATATTTCCTTTTCACCATAGGCCTCAAAACACTCCAATTATCCATTTGCAGATTCTGCAAAAAGAGTGTTTCCGAACTGCTCAGTCAAAAGAAACGTTCAACTCTTTGAGATGAAAGCACTCATTGAAAAGAAGTTTCTCAGAAAGCTTCTGCCTAGCTTTCATGTGAAGGTATTTCCTATATCACCAAAGGCCTCAATGGGCTCAGAAATATCCCTTTGGGGATACTACAATAGGACTGTTTCCAAACTGCTCTAGCAAAAGTAAGCTTCAACTCTGTGAGATGAATGGACCCATCACAAAAAAGTTTCTCAGAATGTTTCTGTGTAGTTTTTATGTGAAGATATTTCCTACTTCACCATAGGCCTCAAAGGGTCCACAATTATCCCTTTGTAGATTTTACAAAAAGACTGTTTCCAAATCTTCAATCAAAGAAATGTTCAACTGTGTGAGATGGATGCAAACGTCACAAAGAAGTTTCTCAGAATCCTTCCGTCTAATTTTTACGTGATGATATTTCCTTTTTTACCATAGGCCTCAAAGTGCTCCAAATATCCATTTGCAGATTCTACAAAAAGAGTGTTTTCAAATTGCCCAATCAAAAGAAAGGTTCAACTCTGTGAGATGGAAGCACACATCATAAAGAAGTTTCTTAGAAACATTCTGTCTAGTTTTTATGGGAAGATATTTCATATCTCACCATAGGCCTCAATGGGCTCAGAAATATCCCTTTGCAGATTCTCTGAAAGGACTGTTTCCAAACTTTTCAATCAAAAGAACGGTTAAACTCTGTGAGATGAATGCACATATCACAAAGAACTTTCTCTGAAATCTTCTGTCTAGTTTTTATGTGAAGATATTTCCTTTTTCACCATAGGCCTAAAGCCACTCACAAATATCCCTTTGCAGATTTTACAAGAACAGAGTTTCCAGACTTATCAAAGAATAGAAACTTTTATCTCTCTGAGATGAGTGCACATCTTACAAAACAGCTTCTCAGAAAAATTCTTTATAGTTTTTATTGAAGATATTTCCTTTTTCACCATAGGCCTCATAGAGCTGAAAAATATCCCTTTGCAGATTCTACAAAAAGTCTGTTTACAAACTGCTCAATCGAAAGAATGGTTCAACTCTGTGAGATAAATGTACACATCACAAAGAGGCTTCTCAGAAATCTTCTGTCTAGTTTTTATGTGAAGATATTTCCTTTCTCCCATAGGCCTCAAAGTGCTCATAAATATCCCTTTGCAGATTCTACAAATAGACAGTTTTCAAACTGCTCAGCAAAAAGACTGTTTCAACTCTGTGAGATGAATGCATACATGACAGGGAGGTTTCTCAGAGAACTTCTGTCTATTATGTGAAGGTATTTCCTTTTTCACCAAAGGCCTCAAAGCGCTCACAAATATCTCCTTGCAGATTCTACAAGAACAGAGTATCCAAACTGATTAATCAAAAGAATGCTTCACATAAAATCCCTAGAAGAAAACCTAGGCAATACCATTCAGGACATAGGCATGGGCAAGGACTTCATGTCTAAAACACCTAAAGCAATGGCGACAAAGCCACAATTGACAAATGGGATCTAAATAAACTAAGGAGCTTCTGCACAGCAAAAGAAACCACCATCAGAGGGAACAGGCATCCTACAGAATGGGAGAAAATTTTTGCAACCTACTCATCTGACAAAGGGTTAATATCCAGAATCTACAATGAACTCAGACAAATTTACAGGAAAAAAAAACAACCTCATCAAAAAGTGGTTGAAGGATAGGAACAGACACTGCTCAAAAGAAGATATTTATGCAGCCAATGAACAAATGAAAAAATGCTCATCATCACTGGCTATCAGAGAAATGCAAATCAAAACCACATTGAGATATCATCTCACACCAGTTAGTATGGCGATCATTAAAAAGTCAGGAAACAACAGGTGCTGGAGAGGATGTGAGAAATAGGAACACTTTTGCACTGTTGGTGGGACTGTAAACTAGTTCAACCATTGTGGAAGTCAGTGTGGTGATTCCTCAGGGATCTAGAACTAGAAATATCACTTGACCCAGCCATCCCATTACTGGGTATATACCCAAAGGATTATAAGTCATGCTGCTTTAAAGACACATGCACACATATGTTTATAGCGGCACTATTCACAATAGCAAAGACTTGGAACCGACCTAAATGTCCAACAACGATAGACTGTATGAAGAAAATGTGGCACATATACACCATGGAATACTATGCAGCCATAAAAAATGATGAGTTCCTGTCCTTTTTAGGGACATGGATGAAGCTGGGAACCATCATTCTCAATGAACTATTGAAAGGACAAAAAATCAAACACCACATGTTCTCACTCATAGTTGGGAATTGATCAATGAGAACACATGGACACAGGAAGCAAAATATCACACACCACACATCAGGGACTGTAGTTGGGTGGGCGGAGGGGGAGGGATAGCATTAGGAGATATACCTAATGCTAAATGATGAGTTCATGGGTGCAGCACACAAACATGACACATGTATACATATGTAACAAACCTGCACACTGTGCATATGTACCCTAAAACTTAAAGTATAATAATAATAAAAGTAAATAAATAAAAAAACCCAGAGCTCCAAAAAGAAAAAGAAGAAGATGAATGTTTCAACTCTATGAGATGAATGCACACATCATAAATAAGTCTCTCAGAAAGCTTCTGTCTGCATTTTATATGAAGATATTTCCTTTTTCACCATAGGCCTCAAAGCACTCACAGATATCCCTTTGCAGATTCTACAAGGAAAGAGTTTCCCATCTGCTCAATGAAAACAAACGTTTACCTCTGTGAGATGAATGCACACATTACAAAGTAGTTTCTCAGAAACCTTCTGTCTAGTTTTTATGTGAAGTTATTTCCTTTTTTCCCATAGGCCTCAAAGCGCTCACAAATATCCCTTTGCTGATTCTACAAAAACACTGTTTCCAGACTGCTCAATCAAAAGAATGGTTCAACAGTGTGAGATGAGTGCACACATCACACAGAAGTGTCTCAGAAAGCTTCTGTCCCATGTGAAGATATTTCCTTTTTCACCATAGACCTCAAAGCATTCACAAATATCCCTTTGCAGATTCTACAAAAAGACTGTTTCCAATATGCTCAATCAATAGAAAGGTTTAACTCTGTGAGATGAATTCACACAACACAAAGCAGTTTCTCAGAAACCTTCTTTCTAGTTTTTATGTGAAGATATTTCCTTTTTCACCATAGGCTTCAAAGCGCTCAGAAATATCCTTTTGCAGATTTTACAAGAAGATTGTTACCAAACTGCTCAATCAAAAGAATGGTTCAACTATGTGAGATGAATGCACACATCACAAAAAGTTTCTCAGAAAGCTTCTGTCTGTTTTTTATGTGAAGATATTTCCTTTTTCACCATTGGCCTCCAAGCACTCACAAATATCCCTTTGTCGATTCTACAAAAATACTGTTTCCAAACTGCTCAATCAAAAGAATAGTTCAACTCTGTGAGATGAATGCATACATAACCAGGAAGTTTTTCAGAAACTTCTGTCAAGTTTTTATGCGATGATATTTCCTTTTTCACCATAGGCCTCAAACTGCTCACAAATATCCCTTTGCAGATTCTACAAGAAAAGAGTTTCCCATCTGCTCAATGAAAAGAAACGTTTACCTCTGTGAGATGAATGCACACATTACAACGCATTTTCTCAGAAACCTTCTGTCTAGTTTTTATGTAAAGATATTTCCTTTCTCACCATAGGCGTCAAAGTGCTCACAAATATCCCTTTGCATATTCTACAAAAAGACTGTTACCAAACTGCTCAATCAAAAGAATGGTTCAACTCTGTGAGATGAATGCACACATCACAAAGCAGTTTCTCATAAACCTTCTTTCTAGTTTTTATGTGAAGATATTTCCTATTTCACCATAGGCCTCAAAGCACTCACAAATATCCCTCTGCAGATTCTACAAAAACACTATTTCCAAGCATTTCAATCAAAAGAATGGTTTAACTCTGTGAGATGAATGCACACATCACAAAGTAGTTTCTCAGAAAGCGTCTGTCTAGTTTTTATGTGAAGATATTTCCTTTTTCACCATAGGCCTCAAAGCACTCACAAATACCACTTTGCAGATTGTACAAGAACAGAGTTTCCAGACTGATTAAAGGAATGAAACGTTTTAATCGGGGAGATGAATGCACACATCACAAAGCAGTTTCTCAGAAACCTTCTTTATAGTTTTTATGTGAAGGTATTTCCTTTTTCACCATGGCCTCAAAGCACTCACAAATATCCCTTTGCAGATTCTACAACAACGGAATTTCCAAACTGCTCATAATTAGTTTTTAGGACCAACATGAGCATTTAGAAACACTGCTTGTGGTGCAGCACACATGTATTATCCACACTGAAATTAGGAATTCAACTGAAGTTCATGTAGAGCCAAAAATGTGAATATTTGGGGGACCTCGGAGATGATCTAGCTCACTTTATTTTGTAGAAAAGAAAACAGTTTCAGGGAAAGGGCATGCATTGCCTAAGGTGATTCAGCAGCTTTGGCACAGAAACACAACACACTTTAGGTGATTCATCAGGTTTGGAGCAGAAACGCAATACAATCTCTGTTCTTTTTCCTCTCAGATCCAGAATTTTTTCACAATACTGAACTACTTATGTTTCTGATTCCTTATTTTTCCTTTCTAAATTTTGCCAGTATTGCCTAATGAAGGTCCTATTCTATACCCTAAATATTTAAATTCGTTGCCACTATTGTCTCTTTATAAGTAAAATTACTAGTTGCTATTATAAATGATTATTCAATCACTTTTCATTTTTGGGGGGTTCAGTACAAAGTTAGTAACAAATAAACACTATTGGCCTTGGCAATACAAGAGGAGCTCAAGTCCTCCAGGGCACGTCAGGAAAAGGCTAAATGACAGCTGTGCTGCGAGTGGACAGAATACAGCTCTCATACAGACTACTGAGTATTTGATGTTCTTCAACAATTTCATTAATCTTCAGTTTTTTCCTCTTTGAAGTGAAAGTCTGCTATGACTTTGAAGTTTCTTTCGAAATAATTATAGATTCACAGGAAGTTGCAAAAGGTACAATGATGTCTTAGGTACTCTTCACTAATTCCAGTGGTGACTTCTCACATAGCAATAGAGCATTATCAATACCTGGAAACTGACATAGGTACAATTCAGAAAGCTTACTCGGATCGCAACCATTTTGTATGCATTCATTTTTGTATGTGTGTATGCGTGTGCGTGTGTTCTGTGCATTTTTATGTGGTGTAGATCTCTGTAACTACCACTTCCACAGTCAAGATACAGAACTGTAGCCTCATCACCAGGCTCCAACTTGCGATCTTTGCTGAAACTCTGACACGTTTTCCTCCATCCCTTCCCCTTGGCAACCCCATAGCATGTTCTCCATCTTTACAATTTTATTTCAATAATTTATATAAATGTAATTGTACAAAATCATATTTTTAAATGGAAAAAACAAGTCACAGATAGTTTTGTTAGCACTGTAAAATAGTCTTTAACATTCATTTGTTTTATGTTCTATTTGTCTCAAAAAAATGTGCTTTGTTCTTTCCCATACTTTCTGATATCAGGATAGGAAATCAATACCAAACAAAACATTTCCATTCATTTTTTTCCACAGCTTGGTTTTCACTGTTGTTGCCTAACATTTATTGTTGTATTTACTCTTTCTCTCTGTTTTCCATCACATAAAAGTAACTTTGTGTTCTTTATCTCTTCTAAGAAAACTTGGTAATGAGTCTTTAATGTGACGCCTGGACCACCCTTGTTTTGATTTTGTGTTATGGGTGTTCTTTTGTGTGATCGTTCTCATGGAGCGTCCTTGTGAAGCTGGGCTTTTCCAGTGGTTTTTCAAAATGGAAATATATATTTAACAAACCAAACACAAAATGACCTTGCTCCAGGAATGCATCATTTCTGAGAAAACACTACCTCTTCCAACTAGAGATTGTGAATATTACTCATATTATCCTTTACTCCCTTTTATTAAAGCTGTATTTTTTTTTACACATTTGTATAAATGGGGTAATGAAATGTGAAACTAAGTGATTGCCTACCAATTACAATTGGTGTTAACGATGCTACTGGGAGGCCACCCCTACAGTGGCTGCGCGGAGTTTAGGGACTTCCTAGCTTTGCTAAGTTACATGGGATTTCCTACGTACTAAATGGAGGTGGGGGACTGGTCCGAGGACGCAGCGGTGCCGCCCTGGCCTGACGTGGAAGCTACAGACCGGGCCCCAGGCACTGCGCGGCCGAGAGACGGAGGCGGGCGCACGATGGCGGACAACACCGCAGCATCCAGCGAGTCACCGCCAGGGGCACGCGAACCCCAGGACCTCGGCCACAAGCCCTGCCAGACGGGCCGCGTGGCGGGCTTCCGTCCCCGGACACAACCGCGATGCGCGCCCGGCAGGCGGGGGGCGGGCGGGAGAGGAGGACTGTGGCTTGGAGGGGTGTTGGGGAGGAGGGGCGCTGGAGCAGCGGTGTGCCGGTTGCCGGGCAGCCACCAGGGGCGGAGGCGAACCACGGCGATCGGGACGCGCTCCCCCACCATCTCCCCGGCAGACCCTTCCTACTTGCCTGCCTGCACCCCCAACAAACCCACACTACCCACGACGCGCGACGACGACGGCACGAGACCTTCCACCCCGCCAGGGCCAACGAACCCTGCACCACGAGCTGCGTGAGGCGCGAGGGAGCCCCGGAGGGAGGAACCAGGACCGCGGTGGTGGCCACGGGAACTCGGCCCCAGCCGGCTCTCTTCCCTCTGTTTTCGCGGGTGGCAGCGCCACCCTCTCTCGCTTCCTCACAGCTAGGAGCCCCCCTTCCCCATGCCACCCAATGCGTGACCACACAGGACCTGCGGGGGGAGGGAGAAGGGGCGGGCATGGCGGCAGAGGAGGGCGGACGTGGCCAGTCTGCACTTGAGGGGACGGAGGGCCCCAGCAGGCCATGCCAGGGAATCCCCAGCCTTGCACCCCGAGGAGCCCGGAGGCACCCCCGGGGACTATTGATCGGCAAGCGACGCTCAGACAGACATAGCCCTGGGAGGAACCCGGGCCACAAGTGCATTCGAAGTATGGATGATCAATGTGTCCTGCAATTCACATTAGTTATCACAGCTACCTGCGTTCTTCATCAACGCAGAAGCCCAATAATCCATGGCTAAAAGTCATACAAGGTGGATTTGGCGAGGGCGCTCCCAACACCGGGAGGCCCTACTGGCACAACAGGTCCCCCAGAGGGTTTACCTCAGGCCGGCCATTCAGACAGCAAGGGGACCAGACTCCAGAGAGGGGTCGGAAGGTTTCACAACACAGGGAGGAAGTGCCGACCACGGGGTGGCGAACGCTGACAGCACCCCATGGGCGCCCAGGGATTCCCGACCCCACAGCCCAGGGCAAAGGCCACACACACGGCACGCGCGCGATGGCACGACGGCCGCCGGTAAAGCCCCCACCGGCGTCAGCTGCGACACGCAAGTGCGGCGCGGCCCCGGCCGGCGGAGAGGATGGAGTCGGCGGGGGAGGTGAGAGAGGGGCGGGCCCCTCCCGAACGGACTCCCCCCCCGGCCCACCGCACCCGACCCACGGGCAGACGGGCGACCCCCCAAGGGGTCCTTAAACCTCCGCGCCAGAACGCGCTAGGTACCTGGAGGGCGGGGGCGGATGAGGAGGGGGACAGGCATCCGGCCCCCTACCCTCGAGACGCCCTAGCGGGAAGGCTGGGGAGAGCGAGCGGGCCAGGCCGGGCCCGGTGGCGCGGTGTGGCAGAGGCGAGGATGGTGGCAGCAGCAGCGATGGGAACTCGGCCGGCCCCAACGGGAGCCGGCGGGATGGGGCCGAGACGGCGGGACAGGGCGGGACGAAGGCTCCAGCGGGGAGGGCACCGAGACCCCCACCCCACCGGGACGCCGAGAACCATCCCCGAGCCCGCCGACACACACGTGGGGGCCATGGCAGGGGGCCGCTCCCCACTGCTCACCAGGCCAGCAAGCCATCCAGCCCGCTCCACGACAGGCACACACGGTTTCGTCCCCGCACGCGTGTCTCTCTCTCCCCCCTCTCTCCTTCCCGAGTTCTCCGGCTCTCAGGGCAGACGAGGCCCTGTAACAAACAAAGGGCACAACCCTGCCCACGCACGCGCTGCACCGGGAACACAGTCTGCCAAGGAGGAAGGACGCGGGGCGGCCCCGACGTTTGGGCAGCGAACGAGAGGCGGACCGCAGTGCCCGGGGTCTCACCGCCAGCGGCCTTCCAGCACCAAGGCGGCCCCGCGCGGCACCTGGAGCGGCCGACTGGCCTTTGGCGGGCCCGCGGCTCCAACACCGCCGCCGCCATCGCGGCCAGCGCCCGGAACCCTCTTCCCTGCGTGCGCTGCAGGCCGACCCCAAACCCTCCCGGCGCCCACCAGGCCCATACGGGGCGCCGCCAACCTGGTCCTGAAGGCGCGCTCCCGGGGACATGGACAACGGACCAACCAGTGGCTGGCGGTGGTGCCACACAAGGCGGAGCCAGGTTTGGTCCCAGACAGGGCCACCACAGCCTAAGCCGGTGAGCCGCTTGGGGAGAGAGGATCCGAGGGCGCGGAGGGGGGCACAGACAGGCAAGGCCAGGGACCGCGAGGGCAAGGGCACCCAGGAGCCGGCAGAGGGGCGGCTCGGGGAGAAACCTGAGGCACGGCCAGGCCACCAGGAAAACACGGCCACGGGATCCCACCGCCACAGACACTAGGGAGGTCCCCTGGCGCCCCGCCTAGGACTCCGGACGGCCCTCGGCACCCACCGAGACCCGCCTCACGAGCCCGGGTCCCGCCATCGGGACCCAGAAGCGACCTCAGCCACAAACCCAACTCCAGGGCCACGTTGCTCGTTTCTCTTCTATCCTCCAACCCGGTCAAGCTCCGGGAGACCGGCGCGCCCCCCACATGGGACACTTCCCATGGCCAGGAGGCCCAACGCCTTGCTACGCAAACGCGGTGGTCGGCACCGGTCGCTGCTCCTCAGGGGAGCGGGCGGAGAGCCGGCTCGCAGAGGAGCGGGTCACGCGCCGGACGGAACGCCGGGCACAACCACCGCTCGCGCAGCCTCCCAACCGCTAGGACGCCGGCTCGGCCCGGCGGGATCCTCCCCCGACTCGGAAGGGGGAGGCGCGGGCCACACTGTAGGTGACGAACGGCCCTCCGTCCCCACCGCTGAGGCCAGGGGAACCCTCGCTCTCCCCACCTCACCCCGTCCAGGGGGAAGCGGAGGAGGGTCCTCTGCAAGCGAGTCACTATGGCAGCGCTACCATAACGCAGAGAGAGGCGGCAGGCGGGGGGATCCGGTACCCCCAAAGGCACACCTTTCGGATCGCTAGAGAAGGCTTTCGCACCGAGGGTGATTCACACTCCCCACCCGCCAATCGCCCCTTGTCAGGCCTGCAGACGCGCTCAGGGACACCTGGGGAAGGGAGGGGGCCCGCGGTACCAGGAAAAATCTGCTTGCGGCAACTTTGAGCCTTTGCGGTCTGGGCGGAGGGCCTGGCCGCTGTGCGTGGGTTCAATCCCCCAAGTGCCCCTCCGTCCACCCGCCTGCTTTCTCCCAGGCAAAGCACCTCCAAGTAAACCCACACAAAACCTGTCGGAGGCAGAACGGTAGCCCCTCGGCGGCAGGCCGGCGCACGCGTCACTGCCCGAGCCCACCGCGGTCGCTCACACGGCTCGCGCGCACCCGCCAGAGGGGAGCACGGGACCTGCGCTTGCCAGACCAGGCGGCGCCCTTCCCCGCGTGAGAGGGGCGCGTCTCGCTCAACCGCCTCGACCCCCACACCAACGAGCTCCCTCAGGACCCACTCGCAGACATCGAAGTGGTGAACGGAGGAGGGGGAGCTGGGGGTGGGAACCACACACCACCGCTCGGCCTCTGGCACCTGAGTGACAAGCTGGCGGGGGAAAGGGGGGAGCCGGGCGTGGTAGGCTCACGCCTGTCATCCCTGCACTTTGGGAGGTGAGGGAAGGTGGATCCCTCGATCCAAGCCTTGGCAACATGGTGAAACCTCATCTCTAAAAAAAAATACAGAAACTAACTGGTTTCATAACCTGGACTCAAAGTTAATAAATAGATAAATAGACCAGGCGCGGTGGCTCACGCCTCTCATCCCAGCACTTTGGGAGGCCGAGGCGGGCAGATCACGGGGGTCAGGAGATCGAGACCATCCTGGCTACCACAATGAAACCCCGTCTCTACTCAAAATACAGAAAATTAGCCAGGCGCGTTGGTGGGTGCCTATAGTCCCAGCTACTTGGGAGGCTGCGACAAGAGAATGGCGTGAACCCGGGAGGCAGAGCTTGCAGTGAGCCGACATCACGCCACTGCACTCCAGTCTGGGCAACAGAGCGAGACTCCGTCTCAAAAAATAATAATGATAATAATAAATATATTAAAATAGAAAATTATAAAAAAACGTAGCTGGCCGGGCGCAATTGCTCACGCCTGTCATCCCAGCACTTTGGGAGGCCAAGGTGGGCAGATCACCTGAGGTGGCCAGTTCGAGATCCACCTGACCCACATAGAGAAATGCCGTCTCTACTAACAATACAAAATCAGCCAGGTGTGGTGACACATGCCTGTAATCCCAGCTACTCAGGAGGCTGAGGCAGGAGAATCGCTTGAATACGGGAGGTGGAGGTTGCGGTGAGCCAAGATGGTGCCATTGCACTCCAGTGTGGGCAACAAGAGTGAAACTCCGTCCAAAAAAAAAAAAAAAAAAATTAAGCCCTGTATTCTGTTATTTTTACTTCCTACCCTGAGAAGAACATAATACAACTGTTGTCTGTCTGCCTGCCTGCCTGCCTGCCTGCCTGTCTGCCTGTGACAGGGCCTCACTCTGTCTTTCGCCCAGACTGGAGTGCAGTGACACCATTATGGCTCACTCACTGCAGCCTCAACCTCCCCAGGGTTAGGCAATTCCTCAAGGGATCCTACGGCCTCGGCCTCCCAAAGTGTTGGGGTTACAGGCGTGAGCCACCATCACCCGGCCTGAGTTAATACATCTGGTCTCACTACGTCTTAACCACACACCCATGAAGAACTCAAGTCAAGAGAGAGTCGGTAAAAGACTCTCAGCATTCTCTCCTGAAAGCAGTGAGGTGGATGGCGGCCGTGTGTCCCGAGCTCCTGTGGTTTCAGGTGACCACGCGTAGAGGAGAGATTTCCAATGTTTCCAGAGAGGCGCGAGCCGCAGTCATTCGGGGCATCCGAGCACGAGATGGGGTTTCTGACAGCGACTTAAGGGCCAGGAAGGGCCAGAATCTGCCAAGGCCCATGTCCCAGGGTGGGGTCGATGGAACCCAAGGTAGAGGGAGTCGGCGGTCCGCAAGGAGAGAGCTCCAGCCCTTGGCCCCACTGTGCAGACCGAATCAGAAGGAAGAGAGTCCTTCATCCTACATGCCACATCCCTCCACTGAACTTGGGAGCAAATCCGTTTTCCAAACATGAGGTGACTCTCACTTTGCAATGGATCACAAGAGGCCGGGCTTTCCAGAGTCTGCAGGGTAAAGAAGTCATTCTGGCTCGGCCTCCCCCATCCCCTGGTAACTGGTGAGTTTAAATGAGGCCAGGCTGGCTGGGCCAGAGCTCCTACGGCGGGGAGGGGGGTTGGCAGGGTGGGGGGGTTGCCTGAGGCACTGCAGAAAGTGGGTCTGAGCCTCGAGGATGATGGTGCTGCAGGAACCCGTCCAGGCTGCTATATGGCAAGCACTAAACCACTATGCTTACCGAGATGAGGTTTTCCTCGCAGAACACCTTCATGCAGAAGTACACTCAGAAGAAGCCATGTTTTTACTGGCGACCTGTTCTTACCGCCCAGGAAAGGCCTATAAAGCATATAGACTCTTGAAAGGACACAGTTGTCCTACACCGCAATGAAAATACCTGCTTGCAAAATGTTGTGTTGATCTCAGCAAGCTTGCAGAAGGGGAACAATCTTATCTGGTGGAGTGTTTAATAAGCAGAAAAGTCATGATGATATTGTTACTGAGTTTGGTGATTCAGCTTGCTTTCCCCTTCCATTGTTGGGACATGTATATTGCAAGACAGATTGGCTTGCCAAAGGATCAGAATGTGACCGAAAGAGGCTTAGTTTAAAGCCTTTCCTCTGGTATCCCTTTGAATCATTATGTGAAATAGGTGAAAAGCCAGATCCTGACCAAACGTTTAAATTCACATCTTTACAGAACTTTAGCAACTGTCTGCCCAACTCTTGCACAACACAAGTACCTAATCATAGTTTATGTCACAGACAGCCTGAGACCATTCTTACGGAAACACCCCAGGACACAACTGAATTAAACAGATTGAATTTAGAATCTTCCAATTCAAAGTACTCCTTGAATACAGATTCCCCAGTGTCTTCTATTGATTCAGCGTAATTTCACCTGATACTGTCCCACTGGGAACAGGAACTTCCATATTATCTAAACAGGTTCAAAATAAACCAAAAACTGGTCGAAGTTTATTAGGAGGACCAGGAGATCTTAGTCCATTAACCCCAAGTTTTGGGATTTTGCCATTAGAAACCCCAAGTCCTGGAGATGGATCCTATTTACAAAACTACACTAATATACCTTCTGAAATTGAGGTGCCATCCACCGGAGCCCCTTCAAAAAAGTCTGTTGCCAGAATTGGCCAAACTGGAGCAAAGTCTGTCTTCTCACAGAGTGGAAATAGACGAGAGGTAACTCCAATTCTTGCACAAACAGAAAGTTCTGGTCCATAAATAAGTACAACACCTCAGGTATTGAGCCCCACTATGACATCTCCCCCAAATGCACTGCCTCGAAGAAATTCAAGACTCTTTACTAGTGACAGTTTCCCAACCAAGGAGAATAGGAAGAAATTAAAAATGAAGTTTCCACCTAAAATCTCAAACAGAAAAACAAAAAGTAAAACTAATAAAGGAGGAATAACTCAACCTAACATAAATGATGGCCTGGAAATTACAAAATTGGACTCTTCCATTATTTCAGAAGGGAAAATATCCACAATCACACCTCAGATTCAGGCTTTTAATCATAAAAAACAGCAGCAGAAGGCTTGATGAGCCTTTTTCATGAAAGGGTGAAAGGTTATTTAGCTTTGTGTTCATACCACTGCAAAGAAGCTATAAATATTTTGAGCCATCTACCTTCTCACCACTACAATACTGGTTGGGTACTGTGCCAAATTGGAAGGGTCTATTTTGAACTTTCAGAGTACATACAAGCTGAAAGAATATTCTCAGAGGTTAGAAGGACTGAGAATTATAGAGTCGAAGGCATGGAAATCTAGTCTACAACATTTTGGCATCTTCAAAAAGATGTTGTTCTTTCAGTTATGTCAAAAGACTTAACAGATGTGGATAAAAATTCACCAGAGGCCTGATGTGCTTCAGGGAACTGTTTCAGTTTGCAACGGGAACACGATATTGCAATTAAATTCTTCCAGAGAGCTATCCAAGTGGATCCAAATTATGCTTATGTCTATACTCTATTAGGGCGAGAGTTTGTCTTAACTGAAGAATTGGACAAAGTATTAGCTTGTTTTTGAAATGCTATCAGAGTCAATCCTAGACATTGTAATGCACGGTAAGTGGTAATGAAGTGTAAAGACAAAGTCTTGTTGATGGTGCTTGTAGTCACTAATTTTTCTTGTTAGATAGCTCTTTATTGTCATGAATTTGGTTACTAATACTTAGGCATGGTACATACTAGTAAATAACTTCAAACTAACATGTTTTTTTATGAAATGTATGTCTTTAACAAACTCTTCAGTTAACTAATGATAATAGAATACCAGATCCTTATACTCAACAGTTTCAGTCTTCTACCACACTTTTGCAGACACTGTAGTTGTGTTTTGTTTGTTTGTTTGCTTGTTTAGTTTTGTTACTTGATTTATTACTTTTTCTTCGAACACAGAAATGGTGATTGGGACAAAAAGTGCTTGGGAAATTGGAAAGGAATAGCATAATTCACTTATTGGATAATAGGAAAAAAACACTGAAAAAATTCACTAGTTGCTGCTTTTTGACAGTGTTCCAGTTTATTGAGTTACTATTAAGAACTTAGTATACCCTTTTATTTAGCAGTATCTCTGTTTTCCTTTTTTTACTTGTGTATAAGTAGACACATAGGAAATTACTATCCAGGTCATATTGTTATCAACTGAATAACATACGAAAAAGTTTGGTCCTACATCTGCCTCAACACCATACTTACTGTTGACATTTATTGTATTTTTCTGGACTGACTTAAAAGTTTAAATATGAAGAGAAGGCCAGGCATGGTGGTTCATGCCTCTCATCCCAGCACTTTGGGAGGCCGAGGCGGGCAGATCACAAGGTCAAGAGATTGAGACCATCCTGTCCAGCATGGTGAAACCTCGTCTCTATTAAAAGTATAAAAATTAGCTGGCCATGGTGGCGGGCACCTGTAGTCCCAGCTACTCAGGAGGCTGAGGCAGGAGAATCGCTTGAACCTGGGAAGTGGAGGTTGCAGTGAGCCAAGATTATGCCATTGCACTCCAGCCTGGGTGACAGAGTGAAACGCTGTCTCAAGAAAAAAATTAAATAAATAAATAAATAAATAAATAAATATCAAGAGAAAGTATAATTCTGAAGTCATAACTCTGTGGAAGCTTTTTTGTCAGATACGGTTATCTTTGGGGTTAATTATTATAGGAGTTGAGTTTTAACATTTGATTTGCTTCTAAATCTGAAGCATTATATTGCTAAAACATTTTTTGATTTGTGAATATGTTGTTTAATGGATTATATCTCATTTTGCAGTAGTAGTTGCAGTGTCTGAAAGATTGCCAAAAAAATAGTGCTAGCTTTTGCTGACAAATGTAACAATCACCTTACCAATACTGCCTTCTCTTCTGATAGCTATGTTTTCCATAATACTTTAAGAACTCAGTTCTTCATAAGACTTGTGTTGTTTTTGCTTTTTTCCCAAGTCTGATTGATCCTTGTGTTGTTCTTTTTTAAAAGTGTATTGTCTGTTCAGCTATTCCGCAGGAGTCACATTCTTAAGAACCTTAACCATATCAAAAATTGTGTTTAAAGGAGGATTATTCAGATTGGCCAGCTTTTACTAGGAGGAGTTTAAATGCTGACATATTTAGGTAACTCTAAATACTGAGCAACTTTATTCTAACTACAAAATAGATAGCCTTTCTTTTATTTTCACTTTCACTATCATTAGCACCGTGTTTAATACCTTTTCTTCATCTATAACACAATTATAACGATATATAAAGCCACTCAAATAAAGCAGATATATCGTGCTTTAAAAAAAAAAAGAAATTTAAAAAAGAAGTCATTATGTGGCACACAACGAGGTGTGACTCGAATCTAGAATCTCCAGTGAAAACCAATGAAACAGGGTCAAACCCCGTGTGTACTAAAAATTAAAAAATGATCCGAGCGTGGTGGCGCTGAGGCAGGAGAATCCCTCGAACCCAGGAGGCAGAGGTTGCAGTGAGTTGAGATCACGCCACTGTACTCCAGCCGTGGGGGACAGAGCAAGACTCCATCTCAGAAACAAACAAACACACAAAACCAATAAAGGTGTTTCACTCAAACTGTCAGGCTCAGGTCTCTTGACAGGATACATCCAGCGCCCAGGGAAACGTCGAGGGGTGGGGTGGAATCTATTTTGTGGCCTCAAGGAAGGGTTTGAGAGATAGTCCCGCAAACGTGACGGCCTAAGGAAGCCCCTCCGCCCAAGAAGCGATATTCATTTGTATACAGTAGCCACCCAGGAGGGAGAATCGGGCTCTCTACAGACCCCCCAACCCCCACCCCACCCCACCCCTCCGCCTCGAGAAATGAGCTCTCGCTCTGTCAGGCTCTATTCACGCCGTGTGGTTTTTTAACCTCCAGTGTGTGTGCGTGGGTTGCGGGGTGGGGTGGGGGCGGCTGTGGACAGAGGAGGGGATAAAGCGGCGGTGTTCCGCGGGTTCCCGTGACGTAGGACGTGAGTGGGGTGGCCAGAGCCTAGTTAACTCATCGCCTGTCTGGACGTCTCCCCTCCTGGTCCCCTCTCTGACCTACGCTCCACATCTTCGCAGTTCAGTGGGGACCTTGTGTGTGGAAGTCTCCATCCCTTTCTACTTTAGCCGATGAAGGCCGGGTTCTCAAGAGTCTCCCCGGAGTCAGGGCCTTGGGCAGGCTCACAAGGATGCTGACGGCTGGTGACGGTGATGTAAGTTGGAAGCCTCGGGCCAATGCAGAGGTATCCATTTGACCTCGGTGGGACAGGTCAGCGGAGTCCCGTGCGTCCTTCCGGAGACTCATCTAGTGCTAGCAAGCATGGTCCCGAGGATTCCAGCTCCCAGCAGAGGCACTTTTGTTCACACAGAATCCTGGGCAGGAAAGTTCTCAGCACGTTTAGGCCTCCTAGCCAAAAAGTCAAAGCCACTTCTGGGATTTTTTTTCAAAGAACCAGTGATTCCACAAGGGGCCATGGGTAGTTGTGGAAATGGAGAGACGTGTTTACAGATACATATTTGAGACAGAACGGACAGGGCTCGGTCACAGTTCATGTAGAACACGAGCAGATGCACATTGAGAAAACCCTCCCAGCATCCTAGGTGAACAGAAGTATGATTTTTTGATACAGTCGAGGGAGACACAACCCCAGATTTTAGGGTTGGATCTTTATTAATATGTAGTATCTATGAGGTATCCAAGTCCAGAAAGCAACTCGCCAGTTCTGTACAGCATTCTGTAGGGAGATCAAACCTGGGATATCTAAAGTTAAGAATTCAGGCCGTGGTAATGGATTAGATTAGATGTACTTGAACTTATTTTGCAAAGGAAGAGAGGGCAGGAGATAGCGAGAGCCAGAGAGTGGGCGAGAGAGAGAGAGAGAGAGAGAGAGAGACAAAGACAGAGACAGAGAGAGACAGACAGAGAGACACAAAGATACACAAAGAGAGAAAGACAGAAAGAGGGAGAGACAGACAGAGAAAGAAAGAGATGGACAGAGACAGACGGACAGGCAGACAGACAGGCAGAGAAAGAGAGTAAGACAGAAGGCAGACACACACACACACAGAGACAGAGACAGATGGACAGACAGAGAGAAAGAAAGAGAGAGACAGACAGAGAGAAAAAGAGAGAGAAAGACAGAGACAGACGGAGGGAGACAGAGAGAAACAGAGACAGAGAGAGAGAGAGAAACAGACAAGGAGAGAGAGAGACAGACAGGCAGAGAAAGACAGTAAGACAGAAGACAGACACAGAGAGAGACAGGCAGAGAGAGACAGACTGAGAGACAGAGACAGAGAAACAGACAGGCAAAGAGAGAGAGAGAAAAAAAACAGACAGGGAGAGAGAGAGAGACCTACCGACAGACAGACAGGCAGAGAGAGAGACAGAGACAGCGAGACAGAGAAAGAGAGATACAGACAGACAGACAGACAAAGAGACAGACAGAGAAAGACAGAGATGGACAGAGAGAGACAGAGAGAAACAAAGAGAGAGAGACAGAGAGAAAGAGAGAGAGAGACAGACCGGCAGAGAAAGAGTAAGACAGAAGACAGACACAGTGAGAGAGACAAGCAGAGAGAGAGACACACAGAGACAGAGAGACAAAGAGAAAGAAAGAGAGAGACAGACAGAGAGACAGAGAAAGACATAGATGGACAGAGAGAAAGAGAAAGAGAGAGAGACAGATACAGAGACAGAGAGAAACAGACAGGGAGAGAGAGAGAGAGAGACAGACGGACAGGCAGAGAGGAAGAGAGACAGACAGGCAGAGAAAGGGAATAAGACAGAAGACAGACACAGTGAGAGAGACAGGTAGAGAGAGAGAGAAAAATAGGCAGAGAGAGAGAGACAGAGAGAGAGAGTAGAAGGAGAAAGAGACAGAGAGAGGAGTAGGAAGGGCATGCTCAGGAAATAATTACACATATTTTATAACGCTTTTGATCCCATAAATGGTGGCCAGGGTGTGCTTTGAAAACAACAACAACAGCAACAAGAGCAGCAGCAGCAGCATTTGCTTACGGATTTCTAGAACATAAGATGTTCTGAAGTCTAGTAAACCTCAACCGGCTCTCACTATACGTTCAGAGATTCACAAAATCGTTAGTTAACAACAGGAGAAAACCGCAGCTAACATGTCTTGGGGAAAATATACGTCTTCCTGAAAACTGGGGATTTCTACTTCATCTAAAAAGAAATACATAAGAAAAAGGAAAAACACGAACAAAACAAAACAAGCCAACAAACATGGGCCAAGGCACTGTCCCTGGAAATCTTAAGTGAGCAAAGTATTAGTTTTCAGAAAGCATTTCTATTTTGGGCAAATACTAAGAAGGCCCAGACTAGAGCTGTGACGTCATTCCCATTGTGAAACTATGCTGGCCAGAGGGCGGAGAAACTAAAACATCATGATAAAAGGTGATTGAGACCCAGCCGCGGTGAAGCTTTCCTAGGGAGGGAGGCCTTAGGAGGGAAGCGGGGGAAAAACCCCACAACTGCAGACCCGCCCGCTTGCCCACGCAGGTCAAGGGCTATGCCATCGAGGAAGCTACCTCTGGGGAAGTGGGACCGTGCCACCTCCATCTTCAAAAACGGTGGCCACTGAGTGAGTCCTGACGCCCACTGATGCAAATGTCAGCCTGGCAAGAATGAGATCGCCGGCAAGGGGTGGGGGAAGGGGAGAGAAGACGGAGGCACACCGGGGTGGCTCCGGAAGGTTTCCAAGCAGGGTGTTGGGAGGCGGGGTTGGGGGGTTTTGGGGGAACCCACCTAACTGACTCACTAAACGAAGGTAAATGGACGTGGGTAGTAGGGGGAGCCTGGGGGGACTTGAAAATTAAACTGGCCCCTCCTAAAACCCAAGGAGAAGAGTCTATGCGCATGAAAGAAACCAAAACACAAAGAAAACTAAAGCGCTGATCAAAGAACAATAGGGCCCCAGCCAGGGCGGAGGTTCCCTAGGCAACGAGGGAGAGAGGGAGGGGTCTCCAGAAGGGAGAGAGAGAAACCGGTTGCCCCAGGCTCGGTGAAGTGGGCCAGACCTCCCTCCGTGTCACTTCGACTTTCAATAACAGTGGCCGCTAGGTGATGCCCAAAGACAACCGATGCCTGCAAGTGTCAGTCAGCACGGAAAAGAACGCATTTATTTATTTATTTATTTAGAGACAGGGTCTCACTCAATCTTCAGCCCGGGCTGTGCAGTGGCGCGATCTCGGCTCCCTGCATGCTCCGCCTCCCAGGTTCAAGAGATTCTCCTGCCTCAGCCTCCCGAGTAGCTGGCATTACAGGCGCCTGCCCCACCGCGCCCGACTCATTTTAGTATTTTTAGTAGAGATGGGGTTTCGCCGTGTTGGCAAGGCTGGTCTCAAACTCCCAACCTCAGGTGATCCACCCGCCTCGGCCTCCCAAACTGCTGGGATGACAGACGTGAGCCACTGCGCCCGGCCTTAACCATGTATTTTTAAGTCGAGGAGCCTATCAGGGAAATACGAGAAGTAGGGACGCCACACGTAACAGAGAGAAAGTTTGAAAATGCCCCTTCCATCCAAGTGGGGACCCGGCCTCGACCTCCCGAAATCATACACCGAGTGGCGAAGCCTAGCAAGGACCGTCTGTCTAGATTCCTCTCGGCCTCTCTAAGCAGGCGCTTCTCACTTTCGTGGAAGGGTCAGGGCCCTCCCCGGCACAGGGGCTCTGACAGACTAACAGAGAAAGAGACAGACATAGAAAGACAGAGATGGACAGAGAGAGACAGAGAGAAACAGACAGAGAGGGAGGGAGAGAGACAGACAGAGAGAGAGAGAGAGACAGAGAGAAACAAACAGAAAGAGAGAGAGAGACAGAGAAAGAGAGAGAAACAGACAGACACACAGAGACAGACAGGGAGAGACAGAGAGAAACAGAAAGAGAGAGATGGAGAGAGAGAGAGAAAGAGAGGGAAAGAGAGAGACGGACAGACAGGCAGAGAAAGAGAGTAAGACAGAAGACAGACACAGTGAGAGAGACAGGCAGAGAAAGAGAGAGACAGAGACAGAGAAAGAAAGAGAGACAGAGAAAGACAGAGATGGACAGAGAGAAACAGAAAGAGAGAGAGACAGAGATAGAGAAAGAGAGAGAGACAGACAGGGAGGGAGAGAGACAGACAGAGAGACAGAGAAAGACAGAGATAGACAGAAAGAAACAGACAGAGAGCGAGATGGAGAGAGAGAGGGAGAGAGAAACAGAAAGAGAGGGGGAGGGAGAGACAGACAGGCAGAGAAGGAGAGTAAGACAGAAGACAGACAAAGTGAGAGAAACAGGCAGAAGGGGAGAGAGACAGAGACAGAGAGAAAGAAAGAGAGACAGACAGAGAAAGAGACAGACAGAGACAGACAGAGAGAAACAGCAAGAGAGAGAAACAGAGAGAGAGTGAGGGCGAGAGAGACAGAGGGAGAGAAACAGACAGGGAGAGAGAGAGACAGACAGAGAGAGAGAGAGACAGACAGAGAGAGAGACAGACAGGCAGAGAAAGAGAGTAAGACAGAAGATAGGCACAGAGAGAGAGAGAGAAAGAGAGAGAGAGAAAGAAAGAGACAGTCCGGGTGCGGTGGCTCACTCCTGTCATCCCAGCACTTTGGGAGGACAAGGCAGGCGGATCACGAGGTCAGGAGATCGAGACCATCCTGGCTAACACGGTGAAATCCCGTCTCTACTAAAAACACAAAAAATTAGCCGGGCTTGGTGGCGGGCGCCTATAGTCCCAGCTACTCGGGAGGCTGAGGCAGGAGAATGGCGTGAACCTGGGAGGTGGAGCTTGCAGTGAGCCAAGATGGCGCCACTGCACTCCAGACTGGGCGACACAGTGAGACTCCGTCTGGAAAAAATAAAATAAAGAAAGAGAGAGACAGACAGACAGAGGAAGAGACAGACAGAGACAGACAGAAACAGACAGAAAGAGAGAGAGACAGAGAGAGAGAGAAACAGAAAGGCAGGGAGGGAGAGAGAGACAGGCAGAGGAAGAGAATAAGACAGAAGACAGACACAGTGAGAGAGACAGGCAGAGAGAGACGGACAGAGACAGAAAGAGAGAGACAGACAGATGGAGGGAGAGACAGAGAGAAACAGAGAGAAAGAGAGACAGAGAGAGAGTGAGAGAGAGAGAGACAGAAAGGGAGGGAGAGGGACAGACAGAGAGACAGACGGGTAGAGAAAGAGAATAAGATAGAAGATAGGCACAGAGAGAGAGACAGAGAGAGAGTGAGAGAGACAGAGAGACTCAGAAAAAGAAATAGAGAGATAGAGAAAAACAGAGACAGAGAGAGACAGAGAGAAACAGGCAGACAGAGAGAGACAGAGAGAAACAGACAGAAAGAGAGACAGAGAGAAACAGGGAGGGAGAGAGAGAGAGACAGGCAGAGAAAGAGAGTTAGAAGACAGACACTCTGAGACAGGCAGAGAGAGAGAGACAGAGACAGAGAGAAAGAAAAGGACAGACAGACAGAGAAAGAGACAGATAGAGAAAGACAGAGATGGACAGAGAGAGACAGAGAGAAACATACAGAAAGAGGGAAGGTCCTGGCCCAGTAGCGATACAGTGCCTTTTCTTTCATTTTCTCTTTCTTTTCTGGTTTTCTTTTCTTTCCTTTCCTTTCCTTTCCTTTCCTTTCCTTTCCTTTCCTTTCCTTTTCTTTTCTTTTCTTTTCTTTTCTTTTCTTTCTTTCTTTCTTTCTTTCTTTCTTTCATTTATTTATTTATTTATTTGGAGACAAAGTCTCACTCTGTCGCCCAGGCTGTAGTGCAGTGGCTGTAGTGTAGTGCAGTGTGTAGTGCCAGGCTGTAGTGCCAGGCTGTA
The DNA here is from genome assembly GCF_000001405.40 of Homo sapiens. Lineage (NCBI taxonomy): Eukaryota > Metazoa > Chordata > Mammalia > Primates > Hominidae > Homo > Homo sapiens. The sequence goes on from NC_000020.11 coordinate 29,756,329, forward strand.
GTGCAGTGGCGCCAGAGACAGAGAGAAAGAGAGAGACAGACAGAGATGGAGAGAGAGAGAGAGACCAATCCCACCATGAGGACCCCGAAATGGTGTTTGATTTGGATCCCTGTCTAGTCACCTCTCTGTCTGTAGATGACTGAGGATTCCACAAATGAAGGTCAGCAGTATCTATTGAGCTGTTTCTCCCTCTCATGCGTCTCATCTGTGTGGTGGAGAAAGGGAAGAAAAGAGGTTCTGATGGGAAGTTGTCTTCATGCCTGAGGAAGCTGAAGGCAGGCTGACGGGAAGGACGGCATCCTATGTGACATTTCCATACCTGGGCACCCTTTACAATGCTGGGGCTGCCGGTCCACCCAGTACGTCAACCCACCCCCAAGAACAGCTAGTTCCGGGATGATCCAGTCCATCCCATCCGGCTCATCCGGGGCATCTGGTGGAAGGCTTCGCTGGAGGATTCAAAAGCAGCATCAATGCGGTTCCCTTGGGGTCGCCGGGCAAAGGCCAGATAGAGGAGGGTGGTGGGACGTGAAGGGGGGCGGGGCATCGGTCTTAGAGCTCCCTGGAAGGTGGCAGGCAGCTGGTGGAGGACGCTGAGCCAGAGACGTCTGGCAGGATATGGACCTGGAAGCCGCGTCAGTCCTTTCCCATACCTCTCCCATGGGAAATCCCATGGCCGCAGTGGGAGACTTGGCTGGGGGAGAAGAGGGGACAAGGGGGAGAGGGAAGGAGGCCCTCGGGAGGATTTAGCACCGAAAACCCACCCAGCCAAGCTCCCTCCCTCCTATGGGGTCCAAGGTACACCCTGGGAGGTGGCAAGAGAAAGGTTCACCCCGTGCTTTTTGTCTTTCTCTTTATTTTTTTCATCTTTTCAATTTTACAAGAGATGCTCATTTCAACAACTAGACGGTGGATGTGACGGGAGAAGTGTCAAGGCCAGGAGTTTGAGACCAGCCCGAGCAACTGAGCAACACAAGTAGGAGAGCCCAGCTGAAAAAAATGAAAAAAAGAAGGAGGAGGAGGAAGAAAGAAAAGAAAAGAAAGAAAAGAAAAGAAAAGAAAAGGAAAGAAAAGAAAAGAAAAGAGAAAAGGAAAACAACCACCAAGAAAGTTAAAATTCTTCAATGGTGCAGGCACAAAAAAGAGCGATTTCACGTCTTTTCCCACAACATGGATAGAGCTGGAAGCAAGTATATACCCAGTGAACTGCCTTCTGCTTACAAGTGGGAGGTTAACAGTGGGTACGCACACGGTCATCAAGATGGAAATAGCAGACACTCCAAAAGGGAGGAGGAGGGTAAGAGGGGGACGAAGGATGAATAAATCGCCCGTCGGAGACAACATTCACCACATGGGTATCGGATACACTGGAGGTCCACTTCTACAACTGGAGGCAGTAGTATGCCGTTCTAACAAACAAGCACATACACCACCTGAGTCTGTAAAATACCAAAACAATGACGACAGCACCAGCAGCAGCAGCAGCATCAGAAACAACAAGAACAGAACAGAAGCTGGAACACAAAACCACCACCACCACCACCAAAATCACCAGTTGAGGGTTGGGGGAGGATGGCCGCGCTTGAGGCCCTCAGGCTCAGTCCCCTCGGGTTTAAAAAAGAAAACAGCAGACTCATTCCTGTCTGTAGACAGGAAAAATCCAATCAAAGTTCTCCATTGCTAAAAAGAGAAGTAGAATAAGGAGAAGGGGTTATTGATCTTCTTGTGATCGATCGAGACCATACATGTAGTAAAAAATTAAATTCAGACAGCAATACTTTCTACACTGTTCAAAAGCATCGGAGATCAGACGCACCACACTCCATGGGGCTTGTGCCATTAGAAAGAAAAGGCAGGCCGGGCGAGGTGGTTCACGCCTGTCATCCCAGCACTTTAGGAGGCCGAGGCGGGTGGATCACGAGGACAGGAGATCGAGACCATACTGGCTAACATGGTGAAACCCCGTCTCTACTAAAAATACAAAAAATTAGCCAGGCCTGGCTTGGGCGCCTGTAGTCCCAGCTACTCAGGAGGCTGAGGCAGGAGGATGGCATGAACCCGGGAGGCAGAGCTTGCAGTGAGCAGAGATAGCACCACTGCACTCTGGCCTGGGCGAAAGAGCGAGACTCCGTCTCAAAAAAAAAAAAAAAAAAAAAAAAAGCCAGGCATAGTGCTGCATGCCTGTAGTCCCAGCTACTCAGGAGGCTGTGGTAGAACAATCACTTGACCCAGTAGTTTGAGGCTGCAGTGAGCTATGATCATACCATTGCACTCTGGCCTGGATGACAGAGCGAAACCCCATCTCAAAACAAAGAACAACCAAAAACCTACAAGCATACTCAGAGATAGTGTGGGTTTGGTTCTAGACAACCACGATAAGGCAAATGTTACAATCAAGTTAGTCGCATAAACATTTTGTTTCCCAGTGCTTATAAAAGTTATGCTTAAACTATGTTGTAGTCTAATGAGTATTTAATAATTAATTATTAATTAATTATTTAATTAGTAATCGCATTATGTCTAAAAAACTATGTACATACCTTAACTTAAAATACCTCATTGCTGAAAAATACCAATGAATATCTGAGCCTTACCAAGTCATAATCTTTTTGCTGGTGAGTGAAGGGGTGGCCTACCCTCCACACTTGTGGGTATCTCTAGTCAGGTGGGACGAGAGACTGAGAAAAGAAGTAAGACACAGAGACAAAGTATAGAGAAACAACAGTAGGCCCAGGTGACTGGCGCTCAGCATACCAAGGACCTGCACCGGCACCGGCCTCTGAGTTCCCTCAGTTTTTATTGGTTATTATTTTCATTATTTCAGCAAAAAGGAATGTAGTAGGAGAGCAGGCTGATAATAAGGAGAAGGTCAGCAAAAAACATGTGAGCAAAAAAATCTATGTCACAATTAAGTTCAAGGGAAGGTACTATGAGTGGACGTGCACGTAAGCCAGATTTATGTTTCTCTCCACCCAAACATCTCAGTGGAGTAAAGAATAACAAAGCAGCATTACTGCAAACATGTCTTGCCTCCCACCATAGGGCGGTTTTTCTCCTATCTTAGAATTGAACAAATGTACAATCAGGTTTTATACTGAGACATTCAGTTCCCAGGGGCAGCCAGGAGACAGTGGCCTTCCTCTATCTCAACTGCAAAAGGCTTTAATCTTTTACTAATCCGCCTCAGCACAGACCCTTAACGGGTGTCAGGCTGGGGGACAGTCAGGTCTTTCTCATCCCATGATGCCATATTTCAGACTATCACATGGGGAGAAACCTTGGACAATACCCCGCTTTCAAGAACAGAGGTCCCTGCGGCTTTCTGCAGTGCATTGTGCCCCTCGTTTATTGAGACTAGAGAATGGCGATGACTTTTACCAAGTATACTGCTTGTAAACATTTTGTTAACAAGGCACATCCTGCACAGCCCTAGATCCCTTAAACCTTGATTTCATAAAACACATGTTTTTGTGAGCTCCAGGTTGGGTCAAAGTGGCTGGGACAAAGTGGCTGGGGCGAAGCTACAAATTAACGTCTCAGCAAAGCAATTGTTTAAAGTAAAAGTCTTTTTCAAAATGGAGTCTCTTACGTCTTTCCTTTCTATATAGACACAGTAACAGTCTGATCTCTCTTTCTTTTCTCTTACAGTGAGGGTCTTGCCTCTATGTTGATGGCTGCTGACTGATCAATGTGGGGGTTGCTGAAGGTTGGGTGCCTGTGTCAATTTCTTAAAACAATGAAGTTTGTTCCTTTCACAAAATATTTCCCTGTAGCATGTGATGCTGTTTGATAGCATTTTATCCACAGTAGAACTTCCTTCAAAATTGAAGTAAACTGTCTCAAACCCTGCTGCTGCTTTATCAACTAGGTTTATGGAATATTCTAAATCCTTTGTCGTTATTTCAACAATGTTCGTAACATCTCCACCTGGAGTAGATTCCATCTCAAGAAAATATTTTCTTTGCTCATCCATAAGAAGCAACTCCCCAGTTGCTCAAGTTTCATCATGGGTTTACAGCAATTTAATCTCATCTAAAGGCCCTAATTCTAATTCTGGTTGTCTTGCGACTTCTACCACATCTTTAGGGACTTCCTCCCCTGACATCCTGAGCCCTCAAAGTCTTCCATGAGGGCTGGAATCAACTTCTTCCAAACTCCTGTTAATGTTGATATTTCAACCTCCTCCCATCAATCACAAATGTCCTTAATGGCATTTGCTATTAAGGATATTTGTGATTCATGGGAAGAGGTTGAAATATCATGAAGGGATTAATGGTGAAACCTTTCCAAAAGGTTTTCAATTCAGTTTATCCAGATTCATCAAAGAAATTACTATCTATGACAGCTATACCTTTACAAAATGCATTTATTATTTAATAAAAACACTTGACAGTCAGAAACACTCCTTGATCCACAGGCTGAAGGATAGATATTGTATTAGCAGCCATGAAAATAACATTAATTTCCAAGTACATCTCCATCTAAGCTTTTGGGTAGCTAGGTGAATTATCCATAAGCAGCAATATTTTTCCTTTTTTCTTTTCTTTCCTTTTTTTTTTTTTATTTTTGGCCTTTATGTAGTTTCCCTCTTGTTGCCCAGGCTGGAGGGCAGTGGCATGGTCTTGGCTCACTGCAACCTCCGCTTCCAGGGTTCAAGCCGTTCTTCTGCAGCAGCCTCCCAAGTAGCTGGAATTACAGGTACCACCACCATGCCTAGTTAATTTTTTTTGTATTTTTATTAGAGACGAGGTTTCATCGTTTTCACCAGGCTGGTCTTGAACTCCTGACCTCAGGTGATCCACCTACCTCCGCCTCCCAAAGTGCAGGGATTACAGGTGTGAGCCATTGTGCCTGGCCAAGCAGCAATCCCTTTAAAGAAATCTTGTTGTTGTTGTTGTTGTTGTTGTTGTTTTTTCTGAGCAGTAGGTCTCAATAGTGGGATTAAAGTATTCAGTAAACCATGCTGTTAACAGATGTGTTGTCACTCAGACTGTGATGTTCCATTTCTAGAGCACAGAAAGAATAGATTTTGCATAATTACTAAAGGCCCTGAGATTTTCAGAGTGGTCAATGAGCACTAGCTGTAACTTAAAGTCACCAACTGCAGTGGTCCTCAAAGACAGTCAGCCCATCCTTTGAAGTTTTGAAGCCAAGTGTGGACGTCTCTCTAGCGATGAAAATTTTACATCTTCACTAAGCTTAATCATTGCTAGCTCTGGACTTCAAGTGAGAGACATGCAATTCTTCCTTTCATTTGAGCTCTTTGAGGCCACTGTGCTTACTAATTAACACCCCCGGCGGGTGTCATCCTCCTCCCTCCTCAATCGAGTTCACCCACACCGGGGCATGGGGAACGGGGCTTGCCGCACCCCACACGCCCTGCACGCCTGGGGCTCTCCCACAGGGGGCTTTCGTGAGCCAGGGGGCAAGGGCCGTTCCCCCGCTCCAGCCCAGCCAGGCTGCGTAGGCAGAAGGCATCTCTCAACCTGCCCCGGCACGCAGGGATTTTGTGTTTGCTGCCCTGGCTCCTCTAGAAGTAGGACTGTACCACCCTCAGATTCCTCGTTGGCCTCCGCACCCCAACAAATGCCAGGAGGTCCAGTACCCGCAGCACGGCAGCCTGCTGGGTGCATGCTCAGTGGGACAGCTTGGGTACCCTCAAGCTAAGTCACAGGGGCAAAGTGTGTTTCCGCCACCCACGTCCCACCGGAGTCCGCGGTGGGGCTGGAGCCCCAGGTCGCCAGGGCGGCGTGGGAAACCGAAGACGGGGCACCTCCACTTCCGAAGCTCGCGACCCCAGAGGCCTCCGCGTCAAGCACATATGCAAGCCATCCAGGCGCCTCCCAACCCCTCCAGGAGCCGGGGCGCTCGTCTACACTCACCCCCAGACAGTTAGATGAGCTCCTGTCAACCCCAGAGTTTCAGCAAAAGGCACAACCTTTCCTAGATCGAGCGCCACTGCGGGGAGCTGAAGGACGTGGAAGAGCTCGCTCTGCTGGAACCACTCCTTAGCCAGGAAGAACACCGGGCTCTGCTGGAGGAGCTTTAGGACGCGGGGTTGGGGCGGGGTAGGGGCAGGGCGGCGGCCTCTCTTTCGCGGTGAACCTCTGACTCGGTATGGAGAGGCGTGTCTTCCCTTCCAGCTGACCTGCCTAGGATCCCTGAGTTCCAGGTCCCGTGAGAGACTCCACTCAGAGGAGGGCTGTCATTCTTTTCTGAGCATCCCGGGGATCCCAGGGCCCGTCCAGGTACCGGGAGGCGGACTGTCTACTGCTCATGCGCGGGCTAGCAGGCAGTAGCCTAGGTTTTCTAACTAGCCTAGGTAGAGTTCTCATCCCTTCCCTCTTGCCCCCCACTGCGTTCTTCAGTGGGGTGGGCGGAGACCTCCATCCCGGGAAACACTGGCCCGGGCAGGCGCCAGATCTGCTCTTCTTTCCGCGTCTCTCCAACTCTGCCTCCCCCCCACACCGTCACTCGCCTACCCTTGTCCCGCCAGCTTCCTCGGCATCACCATGGAGCGCCTGACAGCTAAATGCAGACCCGAGACCCCGCGCAAACCCGGGTGCTGCCCTTTCTATGCGGGAGGGAACTCAGGCAGAGATGGGGAGAGGAACGGAGACAGAGAGGGAGGGAGCGATGAAGGGAAGAAAGAACGGATGGACCGAGGGACCTTGGAAAGGATGGAGGGATAGAAGGAAGGAGAGAGGGAAGGAGGGAGGGAGGGAGGGAGGAACTGCGGGAGGGACGGAGGGAAAGAGGGAGGGAGGGAGCAAGAAACAGAGAGAGGAAGGCAGAGAGAAAAGCAGTCTTCTGCCTCCAGGACCAGCAGGATCTCTCACTCCGGGAAAATGTTGGGTGCCCAGTGCAGGCTAAGTGCTCGGCCCACAGCCGCGTCGGCCTGCGGGGCTCTCACCTGCCCACTGGATCGCCAGCCTGGGTTACTTCATCCGGGAGCGATTCAGAGGATTTCCGCCTCCCAGGGAATGAGCGAATTCCCCAAAGAACAGAGCAGAGACTTGAATGGTTGTCCGTTTTTCATCCACAGGGTTCACAGATGACATATCCCCATGCTGAGCCTGCAACAGAGCGCAAGGCAGATACTCCCACCCACACAGGAGTCACACTCAAGCCGAGTGAGCCAAGATTCCGGATTCCACGTTCCTTTGCCCTCTGCAAGGGGTCCTGCTGCTCACGTGTCTCTGGCCCCCAAAAGCGTGACCATGTTGACTGTTTGTTTCCCGAGCTCTGTGGGGACACAGAAACCTCCAGCGAAGCATGGAAACGCAGCATCGTGTCTTCGCTCTCCTTTCGTTTCCAAACAGGCCATTTTGGAGACTCCCCATGTTGCAGGAAACAGGAATCCCTCATCAGTCCGTGATGACTCAGTCCCCTGCCCAGACTACAGGCCCACCAGGCGGCCTCCCTTTTGCTGACACTCCAGGCCTTCCCCCGGCTCGCGAGCTCCCGAGTTTCCAACACATCGGGCGGGCTCAGGACAGGGTGTGCTTGGAGGCCTCAGGGCCCGGGGCCCACAGTTCTGGGATCCCCTCTGGTCCTCCACCTTGCCGCGGAAAAATTGTTTTGGATCCCTCACCACCCCTCCTGCAAGGCCCCCTCTTGGCCCACACACCCAGAGCCGTCAGGGTTGCCCAGGGGCGAACAGCCGGCCCAGCCCCGCAGGACCTTTTTCTCACAATGCCCACACCATCATCGCTTGTCCCGACGAGGACCCGCCCGTGGCCAACGGGACAGGAAGGGCCTGCTTTGCCCCGCGCTGGCACTAAAGCCCCGGCAGCCTGATCCCGGGAAAGGGGCTGACGGACACCCAGACACACCCCAACACTACTACGAGCAAACCCACCCCGACACACACACAGGCACACATGGACACACACACAGACACACACACACACACGGACACACAAAGACACACACACGGACACATGGACACACGCACACGGACACACACGGACACACACACAAGGACATACAGACAAAGACACAGACACAGCTTGAAAGAGAGCTAGGGAGACCGGGATGGAGAGATAGAAATGCGGGGAGAGAGAGAAAAGTAGAGGGGGAGAGAGACAGAAGGTGACAGAAGAGCGAGAGTTGGAGGGGGATGTAGAGAAAGGGAGAGGGTGAGGAAGTTGTAGAGCGAGAGAGACACAGCCTTGGAGAGGGAGGCTCTGCTCAGGTAGACAGGGCACTTTGAGCAGGCCAGGGTGAGGTGGAGGGTGCTTGGGCCAGGCTAGAACACGGGGTCAGGGCCGCCCACGCGGGAAAACCAACGGAGCCCTGAGACGTGTTTTTTTTTTTTTCTTGGATTGGTTGGTTTCTTTGGAGGTGCGTTTCATATGGTCCTTCCTTTGTTTGCTTCTTTCTGTCTCCTTGATGCGGTGGGCCCCGAGATTTGTAGAGTGCACCCGTCCAACTGGTGGAACTATAGCACCGAGCTTGTCCACGGGGCCAGGTCTGGGTCTCTCTCGTGTCCTCGGGACTAGAGTTTACACGACATTGGTGGCAATGGGAAACAGGGTGCACAGGGACGGATTTCTTCGTGGCTGGCGAAGACAATGTCCTTCCCCCGGGGAAAGCAGCCCACGGGTTCTGGAGCCGAGGTCTTGGCTGGCAACTGTGGGACCTGCTGCCCCAACTTCGATGGTTGCGGCGGCGCTTGATGAATGAATTGAATTGCCTGGGGTCCGGGGAGCGGGAAGACACCCCGGAGGGCAGGAAACCCGCACCTGCGCCTTCCAGGTCTACTACCTGCTGCAGCGCCCTGGCTGGAGCCGGGCTCCTGGTGGGGCTGCAGCCAGGCAAAAGAGGTGGGATGCTGCCACCTGGCGGTATTGCAGCTGCAGACCCCCACGAGGAGGTTTCATCTCGACATAAATCGTTTTCTTTCTTCAGCTGATCTGTATCCCTAATTTTAGATTAATGGTAACTCCACAAATTTAGAGGCACAAAATATGGTTGCCCACACCTTATAATCGCATTACCACCTCCCATTACCACCACCTTTCCCGCTCCTCCCCACCCTCATCCCGTAGACTAGGTCTCGCGATGTTTCCCAGGCTGGCCTCAAACTCCTGCGCTTAAGTTATTTGCCTGCCTTGGCCTCTCAAAGTGCTGTGATCAGCCCTGTGAGTCACCATGCCCAGCCAACCACCACGAAGTTTTGATTCAGCAGCACTGGGTTGTGGAGCTAAGGACCCACAAATTTAGAAAAGTTTTTAAATATCATAACGTTTCTGTGAGGAAATAGTATTTGGTATTACATTTTTAGACTCTTTTATAATGTTCTGGTTTTTTCCACTGAGTACAGTACTAAGTAGTAATTGGAAAATCACAGCATAAGTCATATTACTTTTTCTAATACAGAGTACTTGGCTATTCTCTAAGCTAAACCTGATCACCTACATTGAGTAAAAGAAAAAACCCCAGAGTGTGAGGAGACAGGAGATAGTAGCCAAACATCCAAATAGGTGGGAGTGAATAAGGCAGATGACACAGATGAGATGACCAAAGGTCAAGGAGAAAGCCAGATCCTAAAGTGTGGTTTGCGAAGCTATGCTCCAATGGAAATCTTTTCCGAGAAGCCCTGATTTCTTTCTCTTGCTTTCATTAGAGACAGACATCTTCTGCCCCTTGCTCTTCAATTTTCTAGGACTGGACTTCCCCTTCAACGATCATTCTTCTAGGTTACAAAGAAAATCAAAGCCCTTTGCATGGCTTACAAGGGACTGGAGGACCTGGCTGCTTGCTGTTTTATTGCTTTTGAGGACATGGGGTCGTTTGTGATTTTTAAGGAACTCTATGTTAAACATTTTCTAATTTCCATTTTGAGTCTTGTCTAAAATGTGTGAGAGTAGTGGAGATATTGGGATTTGGTTTAGAAATCCCAGAAACACCACATCCAGATGTCGTATGTTTTCTGCTTTATAATTTCATATCCTGTGAAGGTTTCAAATGTGATTCTACAGAAATTCATACTCAATAATTTAATCAGAACACTAAGCCTCTGCCCCATATAATAAAACCAAATATTATCTTACTTCAAAATTTTAAGTTTTTGGTATGTATTGAGGCTAACACTGTAAACACTCTGTGCCATAATTCCTAAACTGTAATACGGTTTAATGTATCTACTTTCTACATTTAAAACATGTACTTTGCCATTGAGGAACTTAGAATATTGCTGAGCATGTATTAAATACCCATTTTTTTCTTGATTTTTAAATAGTTATCATTTTATAGTTTTCTCTTGTTTAGTTTGAAGCTTACTAGGATTTTTGTCATTGATATGTATGTGTGTATATATATATATATATACACACACACACACACACACAAGTATTTACATAACATATGTAATTGATATATATGTATATGTTTTATATATGCTTTATGCACACTTATGGGAATATATGCATGTGTACATAACATTAATTTTTTGACCAATAAAAATTACATAATTATGTATTGTGTATATTACAAAAGTTTGATAGGTATATATATTGTAAAATGTTTAATACAATTAAGTTGATGAATATTTATGTCACCTTACATGGTTATGTTTTTTGTAGTGAGAGCATTTAAGGTCTCCTACTGTTGTAGCAAATTTTAAGCATACAAAACACTGTTATTAACTACATTTTAAAGCTATACCTTAGACCCCCAAAACTTATTTATCTTATAACTGAAAGTTTGTACTCTGAACACCTTATCGTTTTTTCTACCTCCAGGCCTGGTCATTACCATTGTACTCTCTGCTTCTATGAGTTCAGGCTTTTTAAATTCTCCATTTAAGTGAGAATATACAGTGTTTGTCTTTCTGTGCCTGGCTTATTTTGTGCAGCATAATGTACCCAGGTCCATTCATGTTGTTGAAATAGCAGAATTTCATTCTTTTTTATGGGTGAATAATATTTGGTTGTCTTTTTATACCACATTTTCCTTATCCATTCAGCTTCTACAGTTAAGTCTTTTTTTAAAAAAAAATACCCTTGATGGTTGTGAATATGCTGCATTGAATATAAGGGTGCAGATAATTTTTGAGATGCTGATTTTATTTTGTTTATAGACAGAAGTGGAATTTCGGGATTGTACGATACTTCTATTTTTTAAAATAACCTGCTTACTAATTTTCATAATGACTCTTCCAGTTTGCAACTCATTAAGACTGTACAGAAATATTTTGTCACATCCTTGTTAACACTTGTCATGTTTCTTTTTTTTGATATTAGCCATTCCAACTGCTGTAAACTGGTATCTTTTGATTTGCAATTTTCTCATGGATGGAATGTTTTGCATCTTTCTACACACCTGTTGGCCATTTGAATATGTTTGTAAAAAATATTTAGTCTTGGTCAGTGGAGCCAAGAGGGCCAAAGAGGAACAGCTCCAGTCTACAGCAACCAGCATGAGCGATGCAGAAGATGGGTGATTTCTGCATTTCCAACTAAGGTACCAGGCTAATCTCACAGGGGAGTGCCGGTCAGTGAGTGCAGGACAGTGGGTATAGTGCACCGCACATGAGCCAAAGCAGGGTGAGGCATCGTCTCATCTGGGAAGCACAAGGGGTCAGGGAATTCCCTTTCCTAGTCAAAGAAAGGGGTGACAGATGGCACCTGGAAAATTGGGTCACTCCCACCCTAATACTGAACTTTGTACAACCAGCTTCACAAACAGCACACCAGGAGATTATATCCTGCACATGGCTCGGAGGGTCCTATGCCCATGGAGCCTTGCTCATTGCTAGCACAGCAGTCTGAGATCAAACTGCAAGGTGGCAGTGGGGCTGGTGGAGGGGCACCCACAATTGCTCAGGCTTGAGTAGGTAAACAAAGTAGCCAGGAAGCTTGAACTGGGTGGAGCACACCACAGCTCAAGGAGGCCTGCCTGCCTCTGTAGGCTCCACCTCTGGGGGCAGGGCACAGACAAACAAAAGACAGCAATAACCTCTGCAGACATAAATGTCCCTGTCCCACAGCTTTGAAGAGAGTAGTGGTTCTCCCAGCGCACAGCTTGAGATCTGAGAATGGGCAGACTGCGTCCTCAGGTGGGTCCCTAAACCCCGAGTAGCATAACTGGGAGGCACCCCCAAGTAGGGGTGGACTGACAACTCACATGGCTGGGTATGCCTCTGAGACAAAACATCCAGAGGAACAATCAGGCAGCAGCATTTGCAGTTCACCAATATCCACTGTTCTGCAGCCACCGCTGCTGATACCCAGGTAAACAGGATCTGGAGTTGACCTCCAGTAAACTCCGACAGACTTGCAGCTGAGGGTCCTGACTGTTAGAAGGAAAACAAACAAACAGAAAGGACATCCACACAAAAAAACCCATCTGTACGTCACCATCATCAAAGACCAAAGGTAGATAAAACCATAAAGATGGGGAAAAAACAGAGCAGAAAACTGGAAACTCTAAACATCATAGCATCTCTCCTCCTCCAAAGGAACGCTGTGCCTCACCAGCAACAGAACAAAGCTGGACGGAGAATGACTTTGATGAGTTGAGAGAGGAAGGCTTCAGAAGATCAAATTACTCCGAGCTAAAGGAGGAAGTTCAAACCAATGGCAAAGAAGTTAAAAACTTTGAAAAAAAATTAGATGAATGGCTTACTAGAATAACCAATGCAGAAGAGTCCTTAAAGGACCTGATGGAGCTGAAAACCATGACACGAGAACTATGTGATGAATGCACAAGCCTCAGTAACCGATGTGATCAACTGGAAGAAAGGGTATCAGTGATGGAAGATGAAATGAATGAAATGAAGCATGAAGAGAAGTTTAGAGAAAAAAGAATAAAAAGAAACGAACAAAGACTCCAAGAAATATGGGACTATATGAAAAGACCAAATCTATGTCTAATTGGTGTACATGAAAGTGATGGGGAGAATGGAACCAAGTTGGAAATCAATCAGCAGGATATTATCCAGGAGAACTTCCCCAATCTAACAAGGCAGGCCAACATTCACATTCAGGAAATACAGAGAATGTCACAAAGATACTCCTCGAGAAGAGCAACTCCAAGACACGTCATTGTCAGATTCACTAAAGTTGAAATGAAGGAAAAGATGTTAAGGACAGCCAGAGAGAAAGGTTGGGTTACCCACAAAAGGAAGCCCATCAGACTAACAGCTGATCTCTCGGCAGAAACTCTACAATCCAGAAGAGAGTGGGGACCAATATTCAACATTCTTAAAGAAAAGAATTTTCAACCCAGAATTTCATATCCAGCCAAACTAAGCTTCATAAGTGAAGGAGAAATAAAATCCTTTACAGACAAGCAAATGCTGAGAGATTTTGTCACCATCAGACCTGCAATAAAAGAGCTCCTGAAGCAAGCACTAAACATGGAACGGAACAACTGGTACCAGCCACTGCAAAAACATGCCAAATTGTAAAGATCATCGATGCTAGGAAGAAACTGCATCAACTAGTGAGCAAAATAACCAGCTAACATCATAATGACAGGATCAAATTCACACTTAACAATACTAACCTTCAATGTAAACGGGCTAAATGCTTGAATTAAAAGGCATAAACTGGCAAATTGGATAAAGAGTCAAGACCCATCAGTGTGCTCTATTCAGGAAACCTATCTCATGTGCAGAGACAAACACAGGCTCAACATAAAGGGATGGAGGAAGATGTACAAAGCAAATGGAAAACAAAAAAAGGCAGGGGTTGCAATCCTAGTCTCAGATAAAACAGATATTAAACCAACAAAGATCAAAAGAGACAAAGAAGGCCATTACATAATGGTAAAGGGATCAATTCAGCAAGAAGAACTAACTATCATAAATATATATTCACCCAATACAGGAGCACCCGGATTCATAAAGCAAGTCCTTAGTGAAATACAAAGAGACTTAGACTCCCACACAATAGTAATCGGAGACTTTAACACCCCACTGTCAACATTAGACAAATCAACAAGATTGAAAGTTAACAAGGATATCCAAGAATTGAACTCAGCTCTGCACCAAGCGGACCTAATAGGCATCTACAGAACTCTCCACTCCAAATCAACAGAATATACATTCTTTTCAGCACCACACCACATATATTCCAAAATTGACCACATAGTTGGAAGTAAAGCACTCCTCAGCAAACGTAAAAAAAAAAAAAAAAAAGAAATCATAATAAACTGTCTCTCAGACCACAGTGTAGTCAAACTAGAACTCAGGATTAAGAAACTCACTCAAAACCGCTCAACTACATGGAAACTGAACAACTTCCTCCTGAATGACTACTGGGTAAATAACGAAATGAAGGCAGAAATAAAGATGTTCTTTGAAACCAATGAGAACAAAGACACAACATACCAGAATCTCTGGGACACATTCAAAGCAGTGTGTAGAGGGAAATTTATAGCACTAAATGTCCACAAGAGAAAGCAGGAAAGATCTAAAATTGACACCTTAACATCACAATTAAAAGAACTAGAGAAGCAAGAGCAAACACATTCAAAAGCTAGTAGAAGTCAAGAAATAACTAAGGTCAGAGCAGAACTGAAGGAAATAGAGACACAAAAAACCCTTGAAAAAATCAATGAATCCAGGAGCTGGTTTTTTGAAAAGATAAACAAAATTGATAGACCACTAGCAAGAATAATAAAGAAGAAAAGAGAGATGAATCAAATAGACACAATAAAAAATGACAAAGGGGATATCACGACTGATCCCACAGAAATGCAAACTACTGTCAGAGAATACTATAAACACCTCTACATAAATAACCTAGAAAATCTAGAAAAAGTGGGTAAATTCCTCGACACATACACTCTCCCAAGACTAAACCAGGAAGAAGTTGAATCTCTGAATAAACCAATAACAGGCTCTGAAATTAATGAAATAATTAATAGCTTACCAACAAAGAAAGTCCAGGACCAGATGGATTCACAGCCGAATTCTACCAGAAGTACAAGGAGGATTTGGTACCATTCCTTCTGAAATTATTCCAATCAATGGAAAAAGAGGGAATCCTCCCTAACTCATTTTATGAGACCACCATCATCCTGATACCAAAGCCTGGCAGAGACGAAACAAAAAAAGAGCATTTTAGACCAATATCGTTGATGAACATTGATGCAAAAATCCTCAATAAAATACTGGCAAACTGAATCCAGCAACACATCAAAAAACTTATCCACCATGATCAAGAGGGCTTTATCCTGGGGATACAAGGCTGGTTCAACATACGAAAATCAATAAACATAATCTAGCATATAAACAGAATCAAAGCCAAAAAATACAAGATTATCTCAATAGATGCAGAAAAGGCCTTTGACAAAATTCAACAACTTTTCATGCTAAAACCTCTCAATAGATTAGGTATTGATGGGACGTATCTCAAAATAATAAGAGCTATCTATGACTAACCCACAGACAATATCATACTGAATGGACAAAAACTGGAAGCATTCCCTTTGAAAACTGGCACAAGACATGGATGCCGTCTCTCACCACTCCTATTCAGCATAGTGTTGGAAGTTCTGGCCAGTGCTATCAGGCAGGAGAAGGGAATAAAAGGCATTCAATTAAGAAAAGAGGAAGTCAAATTGCTCCTGTTTGCTGATGACATGATTGTATATCTAGAAAACCCCGTTGTCTCAGCCCAAAATCTCCTTAAGTTGATAAGCAACTTCAGCAAAGTCTCAGGATACAAAATCGATGTGCAAAAATCACAAGCATTCTTATACACCAATAACAGACAAACAAACAGAGAGCCAAATCATGAGTGAACTCCCATTCACAATTGCTTCAAAGAGGATAAAATATCTAGGAATCCAACTTACAAGCCATGTGAAGGAACTCTTCAAGGAGAAATATAAACCACTGCTCAATGAAATAAAAGAGGATACAAACAAATGGAAGAACATTCCATGCTCTTGGGTGGGAAGAATCAATATCATGAAAATGGCCATACTGCCCCAGATAATTTATAGATTCAATGCCATCCCCATCAAGCTACCAATGACTTTCTTCACAGAATTGGAAAAAAACTACTTTAAAGTTTATATGGAACCAAAAAAGAGCCTGCATCACCAAGTCAATCCCAAGCCAAAAGAACAAAGCTGAAGGCATCATGCTACCTGACTTCAAACTGTACTACAAGACTACAGTAACCAAAACAGCATGATACTGGTACCAAAACAGAGATATAGATCAATGGAATAGAACAGAGCCCTCACAAATAATGCTGCATATGTACAACTATCTGATCTTTGACAAACCTGAGAAAAACAAGCAATGGGGAAAGGATTCCCTATTTAATAAATGGTGCTGGGAAAACTGGCTAGCCATATGTAGAAAGCTGAAACTGGATCCCTTCCTTACACCTTATACAAAAATCAATTCAAGATGGATTAAAGACTTACATGTTAGACCTAAAACCATAAAAACACTAGAAGTAAACCTAGGCAATACCATTCAGGACATAGGCATGGGCAAGGACTTCATGTCTAAAACACCAAAAACAATGGCAACAAAAGCCAAAATTGACAAATGGGATCTAATTAAACTAAAGAACTTCTGCACAGAAAAAACCACCATCAGAGTGAACTGGCAAAATACAGAATGGGAGAAAATTTTTGCAACCTACTCAGCTGACAAAGGGCTAATATCCAGAATCTACAATGAGCTCAAGCAAATTAACAAGAAAAAAAACAAACAACCCCATCAACAAGTGGGTGAAGGATATGAAAAGACACTTCTCAAAAGAAGACATTTATGCAGCCAAAAAACACATGAAAAATGCTCACCATCACTGGCCATCAAAGAAATGCAAATCAAAACCACAGTGAGATACCATCTCACACCAGTTAGAATGGCAATCATCAAAAAGTCAGGAAACAACAGGTGCTGGAGAGGATGTGGAGAAATAGGAACACTTTTACACTGTTGGTGGGACTGTAAACTAGTTCGACCATTTCGGAAGTCAGTGTGGTGATCCCTCAAGGATCTAGAACTAGAAATACCATTTGACCCAGCCATCCCATTACTGGGTGTATACCCCAAGGATTATAAATCATGCTGCTATAAAGACACATGCACACGTATGTTTATTGCGGCACTATTCACAGTAGCAAAGACTTGGAACCAATCCAAATGTCCAACAATGATAGACTGGATTAAGAAAATGTGGCACATATGGACCATGGAATACTATGCAGCCATAAAAAATGATGAGTTCATGTCCTTTGTAGGGACATGGATGAAGCTGGAAACCATCATTCTCAGCAAACTATCGCAAGGACAAAAAACAGACACCGCATGTTTTCACTCATAGGTGGGAATTGAACAATGAGAACACATGGACACAGGAAAGGGAACATCACACAGGGGCCTGTTGCGGGGTGGGGGAGGGGGGAAGGATAATATTAGGAGATGTACCTAATGCTAAATGACGAGTTAATGGGTGCAGCAAACCAACATGGCACATGTATACATATGTAACAAACCTGCACGTTGTGCACATGTACCCTAAAAGTTAAAGTATAATAATAATAATAAAAAAAGTTTAGTCTTTTGCTGTTTTTTAGTTGGGTATTATAATTATTATTGTTTAGCTTCTGATTTGTATGAGTTTCTGCTATATTTTGAATACTAACCTCTTATCATATATGGTTTGCAAATATTTTATCCCATCTTAAATGTTTTCTTATTTTTTGCTGTGCACAATAATTTAATACACTACAACTTTGTGTCTGGTTTTATTGCTATACTTTTGATATCATATTTAAAAAAACATTGCCAAGGCCAGTATCATAGTTGCTATTCGTATGCTTTTCTAAAGATTTTCTTTTAAGGATTTATGTATTAAATTTAAGTCTTTATTTTAAGTCAATTTTTGTGTCTGGTGTAAGAAATATGATCAAGTTTTATTATTGTGCTTGCGAGTATCCAGTTTTCCCAGCACTAAGTATTGAAAAGGCTACAGTTTTTATATTGCATATTCATAGTGCCCTTGTCAAAGATTAACTTTAGATACATAGATTTACTTCTGGGCTCTGTATTCTGTTCCATTGGTTTTTGTGTTTGTTCCTATAAACATTCCATTCCATTATGTTTACTGTTGTCTTGAAATGCAGTTTTAAATAATAAAGTATAATGTCCCCAGATTTTGTTTTATTCCTCATGATAGCTTTGGCCATTCAATATTTCTTATAGTTTTATATACATTGCAGACTTTATTTTCCATTACTGTAAAAAGTGGCACAGGAATTTTGATAGGAAGTTGAATTAATCTACAGATTGCTTTGGATAATATGGCACTTAGACAATATTCTTCTAATCCATGGACATGTAATATATTTACATTTATTTGTATCTTCTTTATTTTTTATCAATATATTTTATTTTTTATTGTAAAGATCTTTCACCACATTGGTTAAATTTATTGCTAAGAAATCTATTATTTTGTTGCTATTGTAAATGAGATTTTTTTTCTTTTTTACTGGTTTGTTGCTACCATATAGAAACAAAACTGATGTGTGTATGCTAATTGTATATTCTGCTTCTTCACTGAGTGCATTTATTAGATGCACTATTTATATATAGATGCATTAAACGCATTATTTAAATGTAGTATTTATGTTTTTTTAAATATAACATTATGTCATTTACAGACTGTGACGTTATTTCTTCTTTTCAATTTGGATCTTTTAGTTTTTCTTGCTTAATTATTTGATGTAGGACTTAATTGTTCTACTAGGACTTCCAGTTCTATGTTAAAACAGAACCGTTAGAATGGGCATAATATAGACTTGCATTGGTGTTTGCACATTTGAAGGAGAAAACACCTCGTTTCATTTTTTGTTGTTGTTGTTGTTGTTTTGTTTTTGAGACGGAGTCTCGCTCTGTCACCCAGGCTGGAGTGCTGTGGCACGATCTTGGCTCACTGCAACCTCCACCTCCTGGGCTCAAGCAATTCTCTACCTCAGCATCCCAAGTAGCTGGGATTACAGGCGCCAACCACCATGCCTGGCTAATTTTGGTATTTTTAGTAGAGACAGTGTTTCACCATCTTGGCCAGGCTGGTCTTGAACTCCTGACCTCTTGATCCACCCACCTCGGCCTCCCAAAGGGCTGGGATTACAGGTGTGAGCCACTGTGCCCAGCCACCTCTGTTCATTTTTATAAACTGATTTTAGTAGGTAAAGATCTTCATCTGTTGGGTCTCAAGGCTGATGAGATCTTTACTGGGTTTGCAGTAAAAAGGCTCGTAGCTGTGTCACAATGTGGCTGCCGAATCTGAAGTGGGTGTTACCTTTAGTGGGCTTGTTACCAGGAGCACGTGTGGTTGTGAGTTCTGTCATGTTTTTGGGCAGGCTGGATTGTCTTCAGGGCTTTGTTTTGTGGAGCAGGCACTAGGGCAGGTTCTGCTATATGCTGGGCCTAATAGCAGATGTGTGGGTGAGTGTGGCTCCCACTGAGTACCTAGCAGGTTTTCCCCAGGTTATCTACAAACAGTGACTTTTGAACTGTTTTGTGTGAGTCACGAGTATGATGTCCCCAGCTTTTTTCTTATTCCTCATGATTGGCTTGGCCATTCAGCCTACATTGTAGGCTTGCATTTTCTATTACTATAAAAAATGGAACAGGGATTTTGATAGGGATTTGATTTAACTTACAGATTGCTTTGGATAATATGATACCTTATTAACCAAAGGCCCTGCCTTCTCAAAATGGCCCTTTTCGATCTTGGGTTTTAGCAAGGTTTCATAATGCCTTGTATCCCAAAGCTTACTATATTGCACAGGCTGTTTTTGAACTACTGGCCTGGCAGTCCTCCCGCCTCAGGCTCCTGAATCGAGGAGATTACTGTCATGAGCCACTGTGCCTGGATCTCTCATAAAGTTACTTTCGTTGATGGATGGCTGACTAGTTTTTATTGCTGCAGGGGAATACAACAGTAGAGACCCCCTATTCCACCACCTTGATAATGTCACTCTCTCCATACACTTCTTCCTTATTTTGTTCTCTTGTATGTTTGTGTGTTATTTTAGGTTCAAATATTAAGACCAATAGGCTAGGATTTATACATTCTGTAAAAAGTAAATTAGATAGCTAGTAGGTACCATATATATATCATAATGTTTACCCATAAGATTAAGTTTAGTGCAGGCAAAAAGGACTCATTAAAATTTTCATCCACTTTTTTCAACCTCTATCCAAACTATAATTTATGGCCCAATTTTTATTTTATCAATTACCCTTAACCATATTTCATAAAATTTACATTTTTTCTTTATTTAGAAATGTGAGGCTATTATTTGCTTTTAAAGGCTGTAATACAGCTTTTTTATTTTGTGAAATAATAGTACCAATATTATAAATATTCATAGTGTAAATACTTATTCATTAAAATCTTCCCATTAGAGAATTTTATTAATTATTGTAGTGCATTTCTGTAAAATTGTACCGCCACACACCACAGGGCAATGATTCAAAGTGCCTCGTCTTCACAGATGCACAGTCACAGTTGAACATTGTAGTTATTTAGAAAAATTCTTTTCTAGTGTTATATCAATGTTCCAAACAAGATTTTATGGGAAAATATTTCTCCCATTCTAGTTTTGCAATTCCATGTTAACTGTATTTTTATTTTAGGGTAGATTCCTTGACATTGGTTTATACTATATTTGGTTTTACCTAAGTATTATTTTGGATGACTGTGTGCAGCAACTTTTAACGTACAGTTTATGTCAATGTGCAGTTTAATTACAATATGAATCAGCCATATATTTATTCACAATTCAAGTTTAACAAACTTAATGAAAACTAAGCAAACTAACGTTACATGATAAAGCCCCAATCAGCTATCTTATACTTAAGCAAATACACCAAAAAATAGTTTGTAGCTTTATTGCTACTTTTGTTCAAACTATGTTTTATATTCCCTATGACCAAGGAAATTTCTGACATTGTCCTACCAGGCTAAAGAAACAAACAAAAAGACAATGATTATACTTTCAAGTAGCAGTTTGTTTAGAGCCCCAGATATTCCATCTGTAGACCACTATGCTCATATTTGTTTGTTTTATTAAGGCTGTAGCCCAAAACCTTCCATTTTTGTGGAAATTAAAGCTTTTCAATTCCATACTAAAGACAGGACAGCCTCATGATCTAAATCCAAGGGTGATGGTTTAGAGTGAGGATGATTTCTTGTTGACACGGAGATGGTTGAGTTCTTCTACAATAAATCTATGGGAGAGGCAGGTTGTGATGAGTTGGAAGTGTTGGTTGCCTTCATGGTCTCAAAGTTCTCTGTCAAGTTCACCTCAGCACTGCTGTACTCCTGTTCTGCTGTCAGGTTGGGAATGCTTGGCCAGCAGTGGTTCTCCACACGGTCCTCAACTGCCGGTGCTTCTCTGATCCACTGCCTGCCAGAAATGCAATTGTAGCAGAGTAGGCTGGCAAGGGGACACAAGCCAGAGATGGTAACTGGCCACCGCCTGGCTGGGCAAGAGAGGGGTGGGTTCTCAATCCTAGCTCACATGCCAACTGCCATTGTCATTCCAGCACCCAGTGGTGTCCCCCATAATGTGCACTGCCTGGTCTGAGGTAAATGGAATGCTCAGCTAAGGCCTAAAGTTGAAAAGGGGCTTTCCAGAGCCCCCAGTGTGCTGGGCATCTCACCAGCCATGGAAAGAGTCTGTGTCCTTGTGGCCAGACAGGCAATAATGGGAGCCTGCCCACATTTCAGGGCCTTCTGGAGTTTTCACTTGAGAGTTCAGCTCTGGCAACAGAGGACACTTCTGGTGTCCAGAGATTCTCAGTGCCTGGAGGATGTAAAACTGATTGATGGCATCTGCTGGCTTCTGGGAGCACTGCTTGGCCATGCTTATCTGTGGGCCCCAGCCAAGGCACTGCAGAAATCTTGGTCTCTGGCTAACATTCTGGACTGTGAGACAGCGTGGCTGCAGCTAGCACTGGATGGAGAGAGTACAGTGTGGTGAAGTGGGGACAATGGGCATTCTGCCACATGGCCTAGGGTTTCTTGTGACTCTGGACTGCCCAGGTGCGGTGACCAGAAGGCAAACCATTTCTAGGCCACAGCTCAAGGAGGGACAACCCAAACTGAGCCTGGTGATGGTCCTGAGTTGAGCAGATGAAGCTGGGAGTCCAGGGAGACTAAAGAAGCTCAGATAAACTCTGCAGGGCAGAGTATTCAGGGCATGAAAAGGACAAAGTCACAAAACAAAAAGCTCCAGAGTCTTCAGCTAAATACTGATCAGCACATGTATGTGTGTAAACTACAAGTCTGGGGGGAAAAATACCGGAAGGAAACAGAAAGAAGAATGCTTGAACCTCCCACAGAACCAGGCATATTTGTTGTTCCCACCAGCAACAGTGGACAAATCTTATACTTCCGAGACCATTGGATGGAACACTCAGAAAATAATTGCCTCAGTAGTGTGGAAGATTAGATCTAGGCCGAGGCTGCTAAGGTCCTACTTAACAAGACCTCAAAGAAAACCCTCAAAGAACCAAAATCTTTCCAGATAATTTAACTGCATCTTAGAACATAGCTAAATAATATTTATAGGAACCCAACAATATCCAACACACAATAAGATAAATTTCATGTTGTCTGCCATCCGGCTGAAAATTACCAGACATGTGAAGAAAAAGAAAATGTCTCAATAATGGGAAGAAAACTTGATCAATAGATACAGAAATGGCAAATAAGATGGAATTAGTAGGCAATGATATTAAAGCTGTTATTGTAATGATAACATTCCACAAGAAGAAGGTAAAGGGAAGCTAGAACATGGAAGTAGAGACATGGAAGATCCAGCTTGAACTTCTAGAGATGAAAAATACAATGTCTGAGATGAAAAAATACTAAATGGCATTTAAAATAGAATAGATATTATACAAAAAAGGATTAGTCAACTGGAAGATGTAGCAGTAGAAACTATCAAAAATGGAACGTGGAGAAAATAATGGAAAAAATTGAACAGAAAATCAGCACCAACAGGACTAATATATGTGTAATTGGAGTTCCTGAAGAAGGTGGAGAGAAGAAAAAATATTTGAAAAAAACTGTGGCTGAAAAAATTTAAATTTGAGAAAAACTGTAAACCCAGAGATCTAAGAACCAATGAACCTCTAGCACAAGAGACATGAGGATGACACACTGATGCACATCATAATCAAATTGCCCCAAACCAGTGACAAAGAGAAAATCTGAAATGTTACCAAAGGGAAAAGGACATTACACAGAGAGAAACAAAGATGAAAATAGGCTGAGCTTGGTGGCTCACACCTGTAATCTCAGCACTTTGGGAGGCTGAGGCAGGATGATCCTTGAACCCAGGAGTTCAAGACCAGCCTGGGCAACATGACAAAACCCCGTCTCTACTAAAAATACAAAAATTAGCAGGGCATGGTGGCACTCATCTGTAACCCCAGCTACTCAGGAGACTGAGGCAGGGAGAATTGCTTGAACCTGGGAGGCGGAGGTTGCAGTGAGCTGAGATGGCGCCATTGCACTCCACCCTGGGCAACAGAGTGAGACTCTGTCTCAAAGAAAAAAAAAGAAAAATGATGGCAGACATCTTGTTAGAAACAATGCAAGGCCAGGCGTGGTGGCACATGCCTGTTATCCCAGCACTTTGGAAGGCCAAGACAGGATGATCACTTGAGCCTCAGATCCTGCTTCTGTGAAGTGGTATAATGTTGATGGCAGCCAATGCTAAGTGAAATACATATACTGTATTATTCTGTTCTTGCACTGCTATAAAGAAATGTCTGACACTTCTCAAAAGAAGACATTTATGCAGCCAAAAAACACATGAAAAAAATGCTCATCATCGCTGGCCACCAGAGAAATGCAAATCAAAACCACAATATCATCACTGGCCATCAGAGAAATCCAAATCAAAACCACAATGAGATACCATCTCACACCAGTTAGAATGGCAATCATCAAAAAGTCAGGAAACAACAGGTGCTGGAGAGGATGTGGAGAAATAGGAACACTTTTACACTGTTGGTGGGACTGTAAACTAGTTCAACCATTGTAGAAGTCGGTGTGGCGATCCCTCAGGTATCTAGAACTAGAAATATCATTTTACCCAGCCATCCCATTACTGGGTATATACCCAAAGGATTATAAATCATGCTGCTATAAAGACACATGCACACATATGTTTATTGCGGCACTATTCACGATAGCAAAGACTTGGAACCAACACAAATGTCCAACAATGATAGACTGGATTAAGAAAATGTGGCACATATACACCATGGAATACCATGCAGCCATAAAAAATGATGAGTTCATGTCCTTTGTAGGGACATGAATGAAGCTGGAAACCATCATTCTCAGCAAACTATCGCTAGGACAAAAAACAAAACACCACATGTTCTCATTCATAGCTGGGAATTGAACAATGAGAACACATGGACACAGGAAGGGGAACATCACACACCGGGGACTGTTGTGGGGTGGGGGAGGGGGGAGCGATAGCATTAGGAGATATACCTAATGCTAAATGACGAGTTAATGGGTGCAGCACACCAACATGACACATGTATACGTATGTAACAAACCTGCACTTTGTGCACATGTACCCTAAAACTTAAGGTATAATAATAATAATTTAAAAAATAATAATAAATAAATTCAAAGAAAAAGAAATTTCTGAGACTGGGGCTGGGCATGGTGGCTCACGCCTGTAATCCCAGCACTTTGGGAGGCTGGGGTGGGTGAATTACGAGTTCAAGAGATTGAGACCATCCTGGCCAACATGGTGAAACCCTGTCTCTACTAAAAATACAAAAAAAAAATTAGGTGGGCTTGGTGGCATATACCTGTAGTCCCAGCTAAGCTACTTGGGAGGCTGAGGCAGCAGAATCACTTGAACCAGGGAGACGGAGGTTGCAGTGAGCCGAGATCGCACCACTGCACTGCAGCCTGGGCGACAGAGTGAGACTACGTCTCAAAAAAAGAAAATGAGACTGGGTAATTTATGAAGAAAAGAGTTTTAATTGGCTCACAGTTCTGCAGGCTGTACAGGAAGCGTGATTCTGTCATCTGCTCAGCTTCTGGGGAGGCCTCAGGGAGCTTACAATCATGACAGAAGGCAAAAGGGAAGCAGGCATATCTTATGTGACTGGAGCAGGGGGAAGAGAGTGAGGGGGAAGTGCCACAAACTATTAAACAACCAGATCTTGTGAGAACTCACTTGCTATATAGTACCAAGCGGGGATGGTGTTAAACCATGAGAAACTGGCTCCATGATCCAATCACCTCCCTCCAGGCCCCACGTTTGGCATTGGGGATTACATTTCCACATGAGATTTTGGTATGGACACAGATCCAAACCATATGATATACCATAAACCATAGAGCAATGATTAAAACTCAAAACCAAACCAAGCAAAAATAGTTATATGTAAAAGGCCAACAAAGAAGATTAAATGAAATAAAAATACTCAACAAATTCAAAAGAAGTCAGAGAAAGAGGAAAAGGAGAACGAACTACAGATGGGACAAATAGAAAGCAAACAGGAAGTAGACCAATTAAAACCAAACTCTCTGGCATTCCACCAGTTGCGTGTGATTATGTAGCAACTCTTTGCCTCCGACAACAATACCTGTCACACAGGGTTGTCATCAGAGCTTGCCACATGTGATATGGAAAGCCTGCTGTTTGCAGAACCGCAATCATTATACAGTAGCTCTTATCGTTGGTAGCAGAGACCCAGGTCTCTGTGTTGGTCATGCTGAGAGCTTTCCTTCTCATTGCTCTGTTTTCCTCCTACTTTGATCCCTTTCTGTATTTCCACGCCCCACACCATCTGGCTGGAGAAGATTATCAGCCTCCCGGTCTACAAATGTTCAAAGTCCATGAATCAAATAGCAAACAAATGTATTTCTGTACGTTTATCTGCTACGCAGGGATCCAGGAGAAATGCTTTCCTTCCTTCAAGAAGTCCGTGGCTGCTGATGCCAAGAATGCTCTCTCTGTCCTCTTCTCTTTTCTGATCTGCATATTCTCTGTTGCCCTGCACTTCTGGGAAGACTTTACACAGGGACAACTATGAGTTTTTGTAAGAAGATGAGAAATCACCACTTTGGGAACCATCCATTAGACGTTCCAATATTGCTGCAGATAGGGACTCTATCATGTTCTCTTCTTCTCTGACACCCACCCCTTCCCCCATTGGCCACAGCAACTTGGGTTTGCTCTTCAGCTACGGCAGTGCCTACCCCTGGGGAACTGTGACTTGCTTTATACCCTATCCAATAACACAGTGCGTCCTTATACACAGTAAGTGTTCAATATACATCTGTTGAAGGGATTTCATCACAGTTAAATCTGTGGAGAGTTCAGCAGATAAGTGAGTTGCTCAAGATGGTCAGAGGCTGTCTTCTTCCATTTGGGCTGCCGCAACAAAATACCTTAGCCTAGGGGGCTTATAAGCAGCAGAAATTTATGTCTCATAGGTCTGGATGCTGGCAAGTGGAAGGTCAAGGTAGTGGCAGACTGGGTGTCTGTTGAGGGCCTGTTCCTTATAGAGGGCACCTCCTAGCTGTGTCCTTACATGGTGGAAGGAGAACAAGCTCCCTTGGCTCCGTTTTACAAGGCCACTTATCCATTCATGGGGTCTTTGCTTTCATGATGAAATCACTTCCTAAAGTATTTGCCTCCTAATTCAAACCTAACCTATCAGGGGTTAGGTTTCAACACATGGATTTTAGGGACATAAAATCATTGACTATAGCAGAGACATAGCTGGACCTGGGTCTGGGACCTTCTGGGTCCAGCTCCATTATGACACTTACACTGCACATGGTACCCCAAATGATGTAATTCTGTTCTGTGACATTGTGCCCATGAGGCAGGGACACAGTAGAGGCCTCTGCAGACATGGTTTGTTCTTGGGACGTCCACCTGGCTTTGTGCTGTAGGCCTGGAAGAATTCACCAGCTGCCCACTCTCATGCCTCACTCAGGTTCGTGGGTCCCTCCAGGCACATGTCAGATAGCCCACTCAATTTTTTACTTGCCCCATTTCCCTGGGTTCCCTTCTGAACTCAGGGACCATGGAGGGAGTTGGGAGTCTCTGTTTTTAGTTCATGCTCTTGTCTTCTATTTGAGAACAATGCCCAGGCAAGGCAATCTCTTTCCTACTGTTTTCTAAGAACATCAGGGGCTTCCTCCAAACTCTTCACCCACTCCCTCCACTAATCCCTTCTCCCTCAGGGACACAGGGCACAAGCCCACCTCCTGTGTGAAGATCCTGCCACAGGGTGGTTCTTTGGTTTTCTGCGGGTATCCAGACAAGAAGCTAAAGGTGAATGCACTCCGGAATCCAGGAGCACTGGCGATTTTCTCTCCTTAGCTCAGCGAGCAACCCCACAGATACCCCTAGCCCCACCCCGGGCCACTTGAATCCATACAATAAAATGTATGTCAGTTTGTTCAACTAAGGACCCCGCTGAGTATTTACTCCCTATTTAAAGATGATGTTTATTTTATTTTTGAGTTTAAATTAATCAGCCTCAGGATACAGAATTAGATAAGGCTGGGATTTAGCTCCCCTTGAGTGATTTATTTCACATCAAGCCTTCTTAACTCTTTGGCTGCAGAGGGGAAGTGCCTGTATCTTTCTCTGCAGAGTTGCCTAGGGCTGGCCAGGTGAACAGACACGCTCCCTCCTCTCCATCGTGCCAGCCAGGGCACGGTGTGTGCTTATGATGCAGCGAGTTAGAATACTAACCTTTTCATCACAATAGTCATAAATCCTCACACAAGGAAATAGAGATAATATACAAGTAGGAAAAAAAGAAAAAGAAGCAGTCTTGAATTCTGCTACCTAAAGATAACCATTGTTACCATGTAGGCAAGCTTCCTTTCATGCTGTGTCAAGTGTTTAAAAAATATGGCTCAATATTACAAACACACAGGACTACGTAGAGGATAATTATATCAAACTTTCATGTACCTCCCAGTTAAAATTCAAACGTGGTAGCTTTTGGATGCATTTGCTCCAGAGTTTAAGGGAAGAAAACTACGGATTCAGCCATAATGTTCACGCTGACGCTTGAGTTATATGTCCCTTTTCTAGTCCAGTTACCTCAGCCCTCCCCACTATTCTGAAGTCAATGTGTGTCTTTCCATCCATGTTTAATACCTAGTGTGCATGTCCATGAAGAATGGATAGTGTTCCTTGGTCTGTTTTTACAATTTTATACAAATAGTAGTCCATACATATTCTCCTGAAAGTTGCTTTTCCCTTCAACAATATCTTCTAGATGAATCTAGAATTCTGCATTTCTGGTGAGCAGAAGATGGGCGAACCCCCTGCAACCCCCACCCCAAGGTGATGCTGATGTTCTGGTCCAAGGCCTGCACGTAGCTTGGTGAGGCTTGGGGTCTTGGGACAGGTCTGTTGTCAGCCCTTCCTTCTGAGGAAGCACAGCCAGATGACCTTGGGGCTGGAGACCTCACTATGCCCCTCGCCAGCAGTGCGCACATCCGTCTTCACTCATCTTCATCAATATTTGTTATCACACTTTCTGATATTGTTCCTGGATTTTGCTGTGCAGCTGAATGCGTGCCTTGTGTTTCCCAGCCCTTCGGGTCTCCTTCTCTGTGAATTGCTCCTGGCCCATATGTCTGTTGGGTCTTTGGTTTCTCCTTGCTGACTTGTAAGTGCTATTTTTTTTTTTTTAGATGGAGTTTTGCACTTGTTGCCTAGGTGGGAGTGCAATGGCATGATCATGGCTCACCGCAACTTCTACCTCCCGGGTTCAAGCGATTCTCCTGCCTCAGCCTCCTGAGTAGCTGGGATTACAGGTAAGTGCTACCAAGCCCGGCTAATTTTGTATTTTTAGTATAGACGGGGTTTCTCCATGTTGGTCAGACTGGTCTCGAACTCTCGACCTCAGGTGATCCACCCACCTCAGCTTCCCAAAGTGCTGGGAATACAGGCATGAGCCACCACGTCTGGCCAATTTTGATTTTAATGATCTGGATATCGATGCTTTTTTGGCCAAATACCTTACAAATATGTTTTCCCTATTGGTGCACTGTATTAGTCCATTTTCACACTGCCGATAAAGACATAACCCAGACTGGGAAGAAAAAGAGGTTTAATTGGACTTACACTTCCACATGACTGAAGAGGCCTCAGAATCATGGTGGGAGGTGACAGGCACTTCTTACATGGCAGTGGCCAGAGAAATATGAGGAAGATGCACAAGTGGAACCCCCTGATAAAACCGTCAGATCTCGTGAGACTTATTCACTACCAGGAGAACAGTATGGGGGAAGCGCCCCCATGATTCCAATTATCTACCACCAGGTCCCACCCACAACACAGGAGAATGATGGGAGGACAATTCAAGATGAGATTTGGGTGGGGACACGCAGCAAAACCATATCATGCACTGTCTTTTTCTTTTAACTTTATTCATCACCTCTTTTGTCAGATCAAAGCTTCTACATTTAATATGATTGAATTTATCAGTAATTTCTTTTATGGTGTCTGTGTTTTGTGTCATATTAAAAAAAGTTTTTCTCTGCTTAGTGTCATAAAATCTGTCCTCTCTTTTATTCTAAAAATTGGAAATCTGCTTTTCACATCTTGTTTTATTTCCTTTGTTCTTTGATTCGTAGGGATGTGAGGTAGAATTATCTATTAGTTAACTCTTGCTTTGTAACAAGTAACTCCACACCTCAGAGACTTATGACCATAGGCCACCATTTCTCACTCATGAGCATGGGTTGCTTGGGAGGTTTCAGCTCGAACTGTGGTGGCTGAGCTGGATCTGCTCCAAGTGTCTCTGATCCTCCTGGGGTTGGGGCCTGCCAGGGTGCCTTCTTCTCATGGCAATGGCAGGAGTGCAAAGAACAAAGGGAAATGTGAAGGTCTCTTATCTTACCACCCAGGCTCAGAATGGGCAGACTACCACTTTACCACATCCATTCACCAAAGTGAGTCACGTGGCCAAACCAGAAGTCAAGGGCAGGAAGTTTAAGTATGAATCCCATCTCCACGTGCTATGATTTCCTGGGCTTTCAACTTCTTGAGGCTGAATTGTTTTATTCTCACCTCCCCAGCCTGCAGAAAATACATTTTCTCCAGGACTTGCTGAGCCATAGGGCAGAATAATTGTAGTTGACAAGGACTAGATGGAACTCAAGGCTCCAGCCTCTGTGCAGTGGACAGGTGCCTTCTGGCCACTGAGGCCACTTCCTTCCCCTTGTCCCCATCTAGGTCCTCTGTTCTGCACCAATCTCCCTGTCATTCTGCCCAGGCCTTCCAGGAATCAGCCTCTTAATAGTTCCTGGCTTCGTTCCCTCTCTTTATTTCTATTATGTGAGTGTTTCCATCCTTATTTGGTGTAGGAGGACTGGATTGAGTCAACTCAGCCTGTCACGTTCCCAGTCTCAGCACCTGGGTAGCCCTGAGTGTTCAGCATGAGTGGGGTCCCCCGGTGTCTCCCTCCACAGCACGTTCTGAAGGCATAGGAGCTGGACTGACATTTGGGACACCTAAACCTTTGTTCCACTTCTGCCATGACAGCTTCATTGGTCCAGGCATATCATGGCAGCTCTCTATGCCTCATTTTTTTATTCCTCACACAATGGAATGACATAACCCTCAGTGCTTACCTAAGGCAGGAGACATGATTCCCCTGCCTTCTCCCCATTTCTGCATTTGCCAGAGCATCAGATTTTTGTGTCTGGCCAAGAATATAGTGAAGGAAGAGCAGGTAAGCTTTGGGCACAAAGAGGACATTTAAGGGTTTCACTTAAGGAAAGAAAGTCAGGGGGCAGAGAGGGGTGGTGGAGCATGATCTTGGGCCAATGATGAGGAACTAATGACGTGCAATGCTCTTGGGTTAGGTTGTGTAGCAGCCTGGGTCCCATCAAGAGATAGAAACCACATAGTGGGTCTAACAGGGAAGTGTGGTATAAAGGATTGCAACTGTGATAAAAGAGTCACTGTAAGACATAAAGCAACTCTGACTGGTGCCCTAGTGCAGAGGGAGGTACCCAAGGAAGCACAGATTTGAAAGGTGTTCAGATGTCACAAAATGTGGTTCAGCCACCACATAAGAGACGTTCGTGGATTTGGGCAGGCTGGAGCTAGTCAGCAGCTGTTGCACAAGCACTAGGCCACCCACTGGAGTGCAGGTGAGGGAGCTGGCCGTGAACGGCTGGAATGCAGGGGAGGGAGCCGGCCGTGAGCCGCTGGTGTGCAAGGGAGGGAGCCGGCCATGAGCCACTGGTGTGCAGGGGAGGGAGCCGGCCAGAGCCGCTGGTGCAGGGGAGGGAGCCGGCCGAGAGCCGCTGGTGCAGGTGATGGAGCTGGCCATGAGCCGCTGGAGTGCAGATGAGGGAGCTAGCCGTGAGCCGCTGGTGCAGGGATGCATGGCGGGAGTCTGGCTGCCTTTGTAGGGCAGGAAGCCTCCAGAATGCGAGTCCCACAGGGTCTGGCAGAAGGAATGGCAGCTCTGTGTGGACCCTCTAGAATACAGGTCACTGTGTGCAGGTTGCACAAGGGGTACAAGAGGGGGTCTGGGAAACTTTTCAGGAACTTTCAGATCACATGGGCCCTGCTGCGTTTTGGTTTCCATGTCGAGATGTTGCAAGCCAAGGCTACAAGGTGGCTGAGGGACCACGCCTAGGTCTGTGGTTGGGGCTTGAACATGATCAACGCCCAGGCAGAGAGCTCCTGCCCCCTGCAGTCTCTCCATCCTCTGCCTAGATGCCTGCAGAATGTTCACTTCCAGAAGGTATATTGAACAGTGTTTCCCAGTTTATCACAGTGCACGTATTGAAAGGTGCACTAGGAGCTGGGAGGCAACAGACTGAAAACTGACACTGGAGACGCTGGCTCATAGCAACGAAGAGAAGCTGAAAAGGAGTGGGAAGGAACTAACTGTAATTTTACATCAATGATCTGCATCTTTGTTTCGATGGTTTGTGGCAACCAAAATGACTATTCTTTCTACCCTCCTAGTTCAGTCATAGCCTTAGAGTTTTTTTTTTTTTTTTTTTTTTTTTTTTTTTTTTTGAGATGAAGTCTCATTCTGTTACTCAGACTGGGATGCAGTGACCTTATCTCTACTCATTGCAATCTCCACCTCCCAGGTCCAAGTGATTCTCCTGCCTCAGCTTCCAGAGTAGCTGGGGCTAACAGGCACCCTCCACCACGACCGGCAAATTTTCGTATAATGAGTAGAGATAGGGTTTCTCCATGTTGGTCAGACTGGTCTTGAACTCCCGATCTCAGGTGATCTGCCCGCCTCTGCCTCCCAAAATGCTGAGATTACAGATGTGAGCCACTGTGCCCGGCCGCCTGAGACATTTTGGGCAACAGCTGTGACAGAAGAAATGTGTATCCCTTCCGGGCAGGGGATTTAAGAAGTGGCTCATGGCTGATTATGTTTTCTTTGCTCTGTTTCTGGAACTGTGGGAGGATCTTCTGGGATATGGGTCTATCTGTTTGAGTCTCTGAATGACTACGACCACCAGAGCCCCCTTGTTGACCCGTGATGGATGTGAAATCAATTCAGAAGTCAAGGCCGGGTGCGGTGGCTCACGCCTGTAATCTCAGCACTTAGGGAGTCTGAGGCGGGCAGATCATGAGGTCAGGTAATCGAGACCATCCTGACTAACATGGTGAAACCCCAACTCTACTAAAAATATAAAAAAATAGCCAGGCATGGTGTCAGGCGCCTGTAGTCCCAGCTACTCAGGAGGCTGAGGTAGGAGAATCTCTTGAACTCAGGAGGTGGAGGTTACAGTGAGCTGAGACTGCACCACTGCACTCCAGCCTGGGCGACAGAGTGAGACTCCATCCACCACACCCCACCCCCTGCAAAAAAAAAAAGGAAAGAAGTCAACTTTGCTGTTGAAGCCACTGAGGTTAGGGGGCTTGTTTGTTACACAGCGTCACCTGTCCTGACCAATGCATGACTCATTTCATCCTTAGCAGAGCCCCTGAGAGAAGGGCCTTTATCTTCATTTCACAAATGAAGAGTCAATCTCAGAGAGGTTAGCAGCTTGAGCAAGCTCACACAGTGAGAGGTGGAGCTTGGATTTGAATCCAGGTCTGTCTAACCTCAAAGACTGAAGTGGGGATGAAAATAAGTTGTCATTGTTGTTTGCCTGTCACTCAGGTGATGTAACTCTTGTCTAGGCTTTGCCTATGGAGACTTTGTGATATATCTCTGCACTGATCACCCAGGTGATGGGACTCTTGTCTAGGCTCTTCTATCCTTGGATTGTAACCTTGCAGGATCTTGAACTCAAATCCTTTCAGGGATCGTAGAAGTGAACACATCAAAGCTGCCATGATAAAGTTGTAGAAAAGTGGGCAATATTGCCAAATGCAAAATATCTGGGATATATTTTGGTCTGAGATCACCATTTGAGATTCCTGGAAGTTAGGGAATATGGAGGCCAACTCCTGTAGGGATGTTGTATAAGACTCCAAGCCCTAAGTCAATGATCTCAACCCTGTGGATCAGCACTCTCCATGTAATGGGACATTTTAACCCATTTTCTGCTGCTATAACAGAATATCATAGACTAGGGAATCTATAAAGAAAATAAATTTATTTCTTAGAGTTCTGGAGGCTAGGAAGTCCAAGGATGAGGGGGTCTGCATCTGGTGAGAGCCTTCTTGCTGTGTCATCTCATGGCTGAAGGCAGCAGAGCAAGACTTTCAGAAAGAAAGAGAGTAAAAGGGGCTGAACTTGCTTTTAATACAAGCACACTCCCAAGATAACTAACCCACCCCCCAGATAACTAAACTTTTCCTGAGATAGTGACATTAATCCATGCATGGGGGCAGAATCTCATAACCCAATCACTCTTATTAGGCCCCACCTCTCAACACTATCACATAGAGGATTAAGTTTCCAACACTTGAGCTCGGGGGGACACATGAAGACCATACATGGGGGATTGATGAGTATATGGGAGGGACCAGCCATGAATATTTTGGCTGAGAGTTGTGTTTGGGAGCTGAAGCCATGCTCCATCATAGCAGGGCACACATAGACCTTTGAATGCTCTGAGGAATGAATATTGAACAGTGTAAATCATGGCAGAAGGTGGAATATTTAAAAGGCAGAACTGCCTGGGTCAACTAAAAGAGTGAACAAACAGCCTGTAGCCTGTGGCTGGCTCCTCTTCTCTTCCCATCCCCACCTTTCACCTTTCTCTCTTTCTTTCTTTCTCTCCCTCCCTCTCTCTCTCCCTTCCTTCCCTCCTTCTTTCCTTCCTTTCTTCCTTCCTCTACCTTCTTCTTTCTCTCCCTCCCTGCTTCCTTGTTTCTTTCCTTCTATTTCCCTCTTTCTCTCCCTCCTTCCTTCCTTCTCTCTCTCATTTCCTTCTCTCTTTCTTTCTCTCTCTCTCCATCTTTCTCTCCCTCCATCTTTCCTTCTCTCATTCTTTCCTTCCATCTCTCTTTCCTTCTTTGTCCCCTTCCTTCCTTCCTTTCTTCATCCCTCCTTCCTGCCTTCCTTTCTTCTCTCTTCCTTTGACTGATGTGTTCTGAGCTCAAGCACCCTGTGGGGTACTAAGTGGTACCAAAATTGACTCAAGAATCAAGAAGAAATAGAAAACTAAGAAGTACTATAACATGAAGAACATAAAATCTCTAGTAAAATAAAATCTTTCACAAAGGAAGGACTAGGCCCAGATGGTTGTATGAGCAAATTTTACAGACTTTCAAAGAATGGATCATTCTAATTATGTTCCTAACAACTGCAGCTAGGAATATTAATGCTTGATTTTTCAAGAGCTTCATTTCCTAAAATCTGTAGGTTCAAAGGTAGATTGGTCTGTGTTGGAAATCCTCAAATGTTGTGCAGTTCCTTGAAGTTTTAGCAGTAAAAAAGAAACGTGTTGCCTGCATTAACTTTGAATTTTGTAACTGTTACCAGTTAATAGAGATACTCTATGCATTTATATACACTCTAATTTTATAGGAATGGAGGCATATCAGACACATGGTTCTGCACCCAGGTTTTTTCCTTTGTAACATATCTTGGACATCATTTTTGAGCATCCTTTTAAAATTTATATTTTTTAAATAGCTGTGTAGTAGTCTATCATATGAATAACCATAATTTCAATAAACAGTAAGGTGTTAATCATTAATGTGATTGATAAACATTAAAGTGATTTCTAGACTTTTGTTAATTAAAAAGGTGGTATAATACTTTCTCCCATTCATACATAATTCCAGGCATCATGAGTATGTCTGTAGGGTAAATTTCTGGAAATGAAATTGCTGAATCAGAGAGTATTTCCATTTATAATTTTGGTATATATTGTTTAATCACAATTGATATAGTTTCTACTAATTTATAATCCCAGTAACAAGATGTGAGTACCACTTCAAACTCCACATCACTGGCAGTGCTTGAAGTCATGATGCATATTGCCAGTCTCCCTTCAAGTAAAGTTCTATTAGCTTTACAAAAATTTTATAAATGCCAGACGTTACATTTCCAGATAGCTTTGTGGTAACCAAAAAATAATTGATTTATTAGCAATTTGTATATCACATTGAGACAAAATATATTTGTGATAAATATCATTATTGTTATGTATTTAAAACATCTCATGTATTAAGAAATCATACTTTAGATGGGGCCAAACTGGCCGATTAGAAGCAACTGTGTCTCATGGCTCTCACAGAGAGCAATGAGAACTGTGAGTGAATTCTGCACCTTCAATTGAGGTATTCAGGTTCTTGCATTGGAACTGACTAGGCAGACAGCTCGACCCACAGAGAGTCAGGAAAAACAAGTGGGTCAATGACCCACACAGGTGTGGCTAGCCGAGCCCCCACTTGCAGGCAAGGGAGGCCATGAGTGATTGTTCGACTCTGCCCGGGAAACCATGCTTCTCCCATGGATCTTTGCAACCTGCAGATGAGGAGGTCACCTCATGAGCTCAGCCACCACGGCCTTGGGTCTGAAGCACAGAGCTGTGTGGAGTCTCAGCGGAGTGCTCGCTGGCTTACTGGGGCATGCATGGAAACCCAGGAATTTTGCATACTCTGCCCCGAGAATTCCAGCAAAGCGAGAGATACATCTGTGCATTCCCCTAGGAAGGGGGCTGAATCCAGGGAGCCAAGTGACATCATTCTGAGGCCCCACTCCCACAGCACCTCACAAGACCCATTGGCTTGGAATTCCAGCTGGCCAGTGGCAGCAGGCTGGAGATAGCCGGAGGTGGACCGAGTTCTCAGGGGGAGGGGCAGCGGCTCTATCTGTGGTTTGAGTTGGCCGCTCTAGCCTGCTGGCACCAGGGACCAGGAGGAGTCCCCTATAACACAGTACAGCTGTTGTGACTGATCGTGGCCAGGCTGCTTCTTTAAGTGAGACCAAAATCCATCCATCCTCACTGGACAGGGCCTCCCCATCAGAATTTTAGAAACTCCAGCTGGAGTTCTATGGACAGAACTCTGATTTCTCCCTGGGATGAAGTCCCCAGAGAGAAGGGTAGCTGCTGTCTCCCCAGTTCAGCCAACTGAACCTTTCCAGCCTGCTGGCTCTGCAGATTCCTGGGGGTCAGAACAACACACCTGCTCTGCCAAAGGGCAGCCAGACTGCTTCTTTAAGCAGTCCCTGATCCTGTTCCTCCTGACTGGGTGAGACCTCCCAACAGGGGTCACCAGACACCTCCTACAGGAGCGTTCCAGCTGGCATCAAGTCAGTACCCCCTTGGACTGGTGCTCCCAGAGGAAGGATCAGGTTGCCATCTTTGCTGTTTTGCAGCCTTCACTGGTGATACCTCCAGGTGCAGGAGAGACTGAGGTGACTAGGGTCCAGAGTGGATGCTCAAAAACCACAGCAGCCCTAGCCCTAGGGAAGAGTGGTCTGACTGTTAAAAACAAACAGAAAGCAACAACAACATCAACAAAAAACCCATAAAAACTCCGTTCAAAAGTCAACAACGTCAAAGATCAAAGGTAGATAAGCCCACAAAGATGAGAAAGCATCAACACAAAAACGCAGAAAACTCAAAAAGGCAGAAAGCCTCTTCTCCTCTAAATGACAACAACACCTCCCCAGCAAGGGCACAGAACTGACCCAAGGCTGAGATGGCTGAATTGACAAAAGTAGGCTTTAGGAGGTGGGTAATAACAAACTTCTCTGAGCTGAAGGAGCACGTTCTAACTTAATGCAAGAAGCTAAAAATCATAAAAGAACACAGTAGCTGATAACCAGAATATTCAGTTTAGAGAGAAACATAACTGACATGATGGATCTGAAAAACACAACATGAGAACTTCACAACGCAACCACAACTATCACTCACAGAATAGGCCAAGTGGAGGAAAGAATCTCAGAGCTTCAAAACTGTCTATCTGATATAAGACAGGAAGAGAAGAATAGAGAAAGAAGAATAAAAAAGAAAGAACAACAAAACCTTCAAAAAAAAATGGGATTATGTAAAAAGACTGAACTTAAGACTGATAAGGGTACCTTGGCCCACTATGATCAAGATGGCTTCATCCCTGGGATACAAGGTTGGTTCAACACAGGCAAATCTATAAATGTAGTTCATCACAAAAACAGAATTAAACACAAAAACAACACGATTATCTCAATAGATGCAGAAAAGGCCTTCAATAAAATTCAACATCCCTTCATGTTAAAAACTCTCAATAAACTAGGTATTGAAAGATCACACCTCAAAATAATAAGAGCCATATATGATAAACCCACAGCCAATATCATACTGAATGAGCAAAAGCTGGAAGCATTCCCCTTGAAAACTGGCACAAGAAAAGGATGGCCTCTCTCACCACTCTTATTCAACGTAGTACTGGAATTTCTGGCCAGGGCAATCAGGCAGGAAAAATAAATAACAGTATTTAAATAGGAAGAGATGAAGTCAAATTATCTTTGTTTGCAGATGACATGATCCTGTATCTAGAAAACCCCATCATCTCAGCCCAAGAGCTTCTTAAGCTGATAAACCACATCAACAGAATCTCAGGATACAAAATCAGTGTGCAAAAATTGCTAGTATTCCTATACACAAACAACAGGCAAGTAGAGAGCGAAATCGGGAATGAACTTCATTCACAATTGCTACTAAGAGAATGAAATACATAGGAATACAGCTAACAAGAGAAGTGAAGAACCTCTTCGAGGAGGACTACAAACCACTGCTCAGAGAAATCAGATAGGACACAAACAAATGGAGAAGCACTCCATGCTCATGGATAGGGAAGAATTCATTCCTGAAAATGTCCATACTGCCCAAAGTAATTTATAAAGGAATTCAATACTATTCCCATTAAACTACCAATGACATTCTTCACAGAATTAGAAGAAACTATTTTAAAATTCTCATGAACCAGAAATGAGCCCAAATAGCCAAGGCAATTCTAAGCAAAAAGAACAAAGCTGGAGGTATCACACTACCCAACTTCAAACTACACTATAATGCTACAGTAACCAAAACAGCATGGTACTGGTACAAAAACTACCAATGAAACAGAATACAGAACTCTGAAATAAGACCATACACATACAACCATCTGATCTTTGACAAACCTGACAAACACAAGCAATGGGGAAGGGATTCTTTATTTAATAAATCATGTTGGGAAAACTGGCTAGCCATATGCAGAAACTGAAACTGGACATCTTCCTTATACCTTATACAAAAAATAACTCAAGATGGAATAAAGACTTAAACATAAGACCTAAAACCATAAAAACCATAGAAGAAAACCTAGGCAATACCATTCAGGACATAGGCATGGGCAAAGACTTTGTGACTAAAACACCAAAAGCAATGGCAACAAAAGCCCAAATTGACAAATGGGATCTAATTAAAGTAAAGAGCTTTTGCACAGCAAAATAAACTATCATCAGAGTGAACAGACAACCTACAGATTGGGATAAAATTTTTGCAATCTATCTGTCTGACAAAGGGCTAATATCCAGAATATACAAAGAACTTAAACAAATTTACAAGAAAAAAACAGCCCCATCAAAAAGTGGGCAAAGGAAACGAGCAGACACTTCTCAAAAGAAGATATTTACGCGGCCACCAAACATATGAAAAAAAGCTCATCACGACTGGTCATTAGATGAACACAAATCAAAACCACAATGAGATACCATCTCATTCCAGTTAGAATGGCGATTATTAAAAAGTCAGGAAACAGCAGATGCTGATGAGACTGTGGAGAAACAGGAATGCTTTAACACTGTTGGTAGGAGTGTAAATTAGTTCAGTCATTGTGGAAGACAGTGTGAAAATTCCTCAAAGATATAGAACCAGAAATACCATTTGACCCAGCAATCCCATTATAGGGTATATACCCAAAGCATTATAAATTATTATACTATAAATACACATGAACTGTATGTTTATTTCAGCACTGTATGTTTATTTCAGCACTGTTCACAATAGCAAAGACTTGGAACCAACCCAAATGCCCATTAATGATAAACTGGATAAAGAAAATGTGGCATATATACACCACGGAATACTATGCATTTATGTCCTTTCCAGGGACAGGGCTGAAGCTGGAAACCATCATTCTCAGCAAACTAACACAAGAAAAGAAAACCAGGCCAGGAGCAGTGACTCATGCCTGTAGTCTCAGAAATTTGGGAGGCTGAGGTGGGGAGTTTGAGATCAGCCTGACCAACATGGAGAAACCCCATCTCTACTAAAAATACAAACAATTAGCCAGGCATATTGGCACATACTTGTAATCCTAGCTACTTGGGAGGCTGAGGCAGGAGAATCGCTTGAACCCAGGAGGCAGAGGTTGTGGTGAGCCGAGATCACGCCATTGCACTCCAACCTGGGCAACAAGAGTGAAAATTTGTCTCAAAAAAAAAAAAAAAGAGAGAGAGAGAAAGAAAAAGAGAAAAGAAAACCAAACACTGCATGTTCTCACTCATAAGTGGGAGTTGAACAATGAGGACACATGGACACAGGGAGGGGAACATCACACACTGGGGCCTGTCATGGGGTGGGAGACTAGGGGAGGAATAGCGTTAGGAGAAATACCTATGTAGATGACGGGTTGATGGGTGCAGCAAACCACCATGGCACATGTATAACTATGTAACAAACCTGCATGCTCTGCCCATGTATCATAGAACTTAAAGTACAACAAAGAAAACTTTACATAAATGCATAAAGTCTAGAACAGCTAATATATTATAATGAAATGTCAACTATACTCCCAGCTGAAAGAGAACAGCATAAAATTATGAAGAGCTCTCCACAAATCTCTAAATTTATGTCCTCATAAGATTATATTTCTATTTCTTCTTGAATAATTTCCTGATTTTAGTTATGACTTAGTGATAGTAAGATGGTAATTATGAGGAGAAAATTCTCCCAACACTCCATAGAGAAAATTCTGCCTCATTTCACCACACACCTGAGTCTTAAGTAGTCACTTCTAATGTAGCTGAATAATAGATCCTCACCCAGCTGAGTCTATGAGTTGAATCCATGTATGTGAGATAAGGCCCCCAAGGAGAGGTAATAAGCTGGGAATGCCATCAGCTCATCTTTCTTCAGGCCTATATTTGTCATTGTCACTTGTAGAAGCAGGACAGCCCTGGCATTGGGATTGGTAGTAACAGAGAGTATCAAAGGGAAAACTGAACTTCCCTAATTTTTGGAAAACAGCAGATTGGAAAGAGATGGGCTCCAATGTTTTCCATGTGTGAGGTCATTGTCCCAGGTAGCCTTGCTCAGGACATTTCTTGTCAGCAAAATAGAAGTCAAACGATATTTCTATCTTCCAAGAGAATAGAACATAATGTCAGATTTTCTCATGGATTCCCACAAGTTCAAGAAACTATCATGGCCTTATTTAACTGCTTAAGCAGTTCAACTAAAAAATTATTAGTCTTTCAAATACACAGGAATCTGTTTGGAAAAATGTTAACCAGAAAAAGTTGGAATTCTAAAGTAAAAAATGCATAAGGCCATAACAATTTTTTATATCTTTTAATCTATATGTCAACTGGGGAAAAAAAAAACATTCTCTGAAGTTTCCTTTTATATCATTAAAGACTTATTCTTTACTACCAGCAATACAGGGCGACTTATTCAGGTTGAATATTGAAGGTAAACTTTAACTTAATTTTAAGTTTTGGCTAATTTTTAAGCATTTCTCAGTCACCTGCCATGATTTCATCTCAGAAACCAAAATCTCAATTTCATTTAGACCTTTGAAATATTAAAATAGAAGGTTAAATGCTTCAAAATAATATTCATGTAGAGACTTACATATGTGGACCAGGAATCTCCATGTATTACAAAGTTTATGAGAACATAACAAATGTTGATATGCACATTTAATTCTGAAATAAAAACTTACAACAAATAAAACTAACAAATCAGGAAAATATTGTAGGTTACATATTTTATGTCTAAAAATATAGGTATGAAACACTCAAGAATGGATAAAGGAAGAAATCACAAGAGAAAAGAAAAAATATCTAGAGACAAATTAAAAACATGAAATACCAAAAGTTAAGAGATACATCAAAAACGGTACCATAAGGGAAAAATTTATAGCTATAAATGATTATAAAAAATAAGATACTGAATCAACAACTTTACTCCTAAGGAACTAAAAACAGAGAGAAAAAGAGGGACTATTAAAGAGGGACAACTAAAAGCTAGCAAAATTAAAAAAAAAGATAAAGATAGCAGTGGAAATAAGTGAAATAGAGAATAGAAAAACAATATCAAAAATCAACACAACCTAGTTTCTTCTCTGAAAAAGATCAAAACTGACAAAATTTTATCTAGATTAACTAAGAAA
This sequence comes from Homo sapiens, assembly GCF_000001405.40. Classification (NCBI taxonomy): domain Eukaryota; kingdom Metazoa; phylum Chordata; class Mammalia; order Primates; family Hominidae; genus Homo; species Homo sapiens. The sequence continues at coordinate 29,798,167 of NC_000020.11, forward strand.
GAAAGGGAATATTCAAATTACTAAACTCAAAAATAAAATGGGTACATTACTAACAAATTTTTGGAGTAAAAAAGGGGTGTAGGAGAGTACCATAAGGGACTATATACTAAAAAATTGAATAGCCTAAATAAAATGAACAAATTCCTAGAAACAAAAAACCTACTAAGACTGAAACAGAAAAGTTGAATAAACCTATTCAGCAAGGAGATTCAGCAGGAAGATTGCATCAGTAATCAAAAACCCAGCAACAAAGAAAAGCCTGGACCAGATGGTTTCACTGTTGAATTCTACCCAATGTTTAAAGCAGAATTAACACCGCTTCTTCTCAAACTTTTTCAAAACGTTGAAGAGGAGGTAGTTTTTTCTAACTTATTCTATGAGGCCAGTATTACCCTGACACCAAGCCAGACAAAGGCACCATAAGAAAACTACAAACATCCCTTATACATGCTGATGCAAAAATCCTCAACAAAATACCAGCAACTCAAACTTAGCAGTACATTAAAAGGATTATAGACTATGAATGAGTATAATTGACTCCTGAAATGAAAGTATGTTACAGCACATGAAAATCAGCATAATATCACATTAACATAAGGAAAAAACCCTCATGTAATCATCTTAAGCAAAGAAGAAAAAGCATTTGTCAAAATTTAATGCAGATTCATGACAAAATATACTTAATAAACTATAAAAAGAAAGAAAACACCTTAACATAATGTTATACAAAAAACAAAACAAAACAAAAAAAACACAGCTAACATGGTGAAAGACTGAAAGCTTTTACCCTAAGAGCAAAAACAAGGATGCATGCTTTTACTACTGCTATTTAGTATAATACTGAAGGTTCTAGTTAGTTAAAACAACAAGGTGAGTAAAAGAATTAAAGATATTCCAATTTTTTAAAAATAAAATTATCTGTTTGCAGATGACATAAACTTATATATTAAAAATCTTTTAGTTTCTGTGAAATAAACTGTCAGATGCAATAAATAAAATTCAGCAAAGCTGAAGGATACAAAATAATACACAAAAATCAGTTGTATTTCTACAATAACAATAAACTGTCTGAAGAAGAAATCAAGACAACGGTATCATGTATGATAGCATCAAAAGAATAAAATCCTTAGAAACCCACTTAACCAAGGAAATGAAAAACCTGTACAGCAAAAACTAGAAACATGGCATGAAAGTATTAAAGATGACACAAATAAATGAAAAGACATCATGTGTTTATGGACTGGAAGACAAAATCTTGTCAAGGTGCCATTGTTATCTATAGTCATCTACAGATTCAATAAAATCACTGCAAACATTCCAATATTTGCAAAAATAGAAAAACCTGTTCTAAAATTCAGATGAAATCTCAAAAAACCCCAAGCAGCCAAATCAATCTTAAAATCTAACAAAGTTAGAGGACTAACACCTCCTGGTTTCAAACTTCAGTATGCAAAACAATGCTGTACCAGCATAGAGACAGACACAAAGACCAATGCAATAGAAATAAAGAACCAAAAAATATGGTCATGATTTTTAACAAGGGCGTCAACACTGTTCAATGGGGAAAGGACAGTATTTTTTTAAATGGTGTTAAAAACGGATATTTACATCTATCTATCTATATATTTATATGTATATATATGTATATATATTTATATGTATATATATATTTATATGTATATATTTTTATATGTATATATATATTTATATGTATATATATATTTATATGTATATATTTTTATATGTATATATATATATATTTATATGTGTATATATATATATCCCAAATTAGCTTTTTGTCTGTCAGGTATGTTGCAGATCTATTTCCCCAGTCTGTTGACTTTGACTTTGAGACATTTTTCTCTCATACAAAATTTTAATTTTTATGGAGTCAAATACAACCTCGGCGACGATCTGGTTCCCTCACTGCCCGGCCTGCGTGAGCACGATTTCCCTCATGGCCAAGGCGGGATTACAGCGGCAGGAGAAACGCGAGAAGGAGTAGCAGACGCGCAGCTACCCAGCCCACACTCCACCAACGCTGAAATAGCCCGGCGCCCACCTCCCTCAGCCTCGGATTCGGCTCCAAGAATAAGTAACAGCTTTACTTCCACACAGGTGTACCCACCTGTGAATCCCTTGGCGTTGAACGTCTGTTGGAGAGCTCACGTGTCCTTGCTGTGGTCCTTTCCATGTTGGGGAAAGCTGGTCAGCTGGAGAACTTCCTCCCACATCTTTAGTAAGACTAAATCCCTAGCTGAGCTGAAACTGAATTTTCCTCCCATGTGGGAGGGGAAGACTCTTGTATCCATATTCACAGAGTGTCTTCGCACTTGTCCTAGATTGATGACATATTTTTGTAATTGATGAGTCTTTTCATCTATTAGGAGATCTGTGCTTAGGAAAGGTCTTCCGAATGTTAACTCAACAGGATTTAATTATAAGTTTTACTTTGGAGCAGTTCAAACCCGCAGTAAGCTATGGGTGTTAGAGATAGTCAGGCGTCTGATTTAGCTAGAGTCTTCTTTAGAGTAGGATTAGCCCTTTCACCTTTCCAGAGGACTGCGGTCTGCATACAGAGTGAAGGTAATATTGGATTCTTAAAGCTGAGGATAAGTGTTGGGATACACCTGCTGTGAAAGACGGGCCATTGCCACTTTGCAGGCTTTTGGATTACCCAAACTGAGGAGTTATTTCTTCTGGTAAACATTTTTCAGATGGGGTGGGGAATGCCTCGATCTAACCAATGAAGGTATCAATAAGAATTAGCAAATATTTGAATCTCCTGCAGAAAGGTATCTGAGTAAATTAGAGTTGCCAGTTCTCACCTGGATAGGTTCCTCAACTTTGGACAGTTTTACCTGGAGAAGGAGAAAATTGCTAGCCTTTTGGGTCATGTCAGGCACAGAGCTCACAGGGCTGAGTCACCTGTTTTGGTGTATTGAAAAGATTTACCCCTATAAACAAATGAGACATTAACGGAAACCAAGAATCCCTTCTAGGGTGAAAAGAATCATGAAAGTGCTGAATTATATTCCTATGGTTGGTATTTGGCATTAGTAATTTATTACTATCATTCAGCCAGCCAGAGGGACCCTGGACTGAAATGCAATCCCTGGCCCATTTTTGTTCTTCTTCAGAGTGTTCTGACTCAGTTCAATGTATGCTGACCAGCACACCCATAAGCTTCATTGGCCTTTTCAGTGCAGGGGCCTTGGCTGCGACATCTGCAAGGACATTTCCTTCTACATGGTCAGTCTCTCTTTTGAAGTCATCTGCAATTAATTATACTCACTTTTTGGCAGCAAAGCAGCATTCAAACAAGCTCAAAATCTGAATGATGTTGTATGGAAAAGCCCTTGGGGGTCAGGAGTCCCTACCCATTCCAAATTGCAGCATAAGTATGAAGCACTAAAAAATCATACTTGGAATCAGTGTAAATGTTAACTTTTAAATCCTTTCCCAACTGCAGGGGCTGAGTAAGTTCAATTAACTCAGCTTTTTGTGCTGAGGTAGAGGCCAGCAAGACTTATGCCTTGATTCTCTTGTGCTGACTACTAATAGCATATCTACCACTCCTGTTTTCCTGATGTATAAAACAACATACATCTGTTAACCACTCTTCCTTGGGATGGTCAAGGGGCTCATCTCTCTTAAGTCTGGCCCGCTAGAATAAATGTGTTTCATAACCTGTGACAGGCTTTGGCTGTGTCCCAGTCAAATCTTATCTTGAATTGTAGCTCACATAATTCCTATATATCGTGGGAGGGATCCAGTGGGAGGTAATCGAATCGGGGGATGGGTCTTTCCCATGCTGTCTTCGTGACAGTGAATAAGTCTCATGAGATCTGATGGTTTATTTATTTATTTATTTATTTATTTTTGAGACATAGTCTTGCTCTGTTGCTCAAGCTGGAGTGCATTATCAGGACCTTGGCTCACTGCAACTTTGACTCCTGGGTTCAAGCGATTCTCCTGTCTCAGCCTCCCGAGTAGCTGGGATTATAGGTGCCTACCACCAGCCTGTCTAATTTTTGTACTTTTAGTATAGACGGGGATTCACCATGTTGGCCAGGCTGGTCATCCACTGCCTTGGCCTCCCAAAGTGCTGGGATTACAGCTGATGGTTTTATAAAGGGGAGTTTCCCTACACAAGCCCTTTTGCCTGCTACCATGTAAGAGATGTGACTTTGCTCCTCATTTGCCTTCTGCCATGAGCGTGAGGCCTCTGACCATGTGGAACTGTGAGTCAATGAAACTTCTTTTCTTTGTAAATTATCCAGCCTCAGATATGTCTTTATTAGCAGCATGAAAACAGACTAATACAATCTGTATGCCAGGAAGGCTAGAAGCACCTGGAGACTCTGGCCCATAAGTTGCTGGGTTTATGGTTTGGCAGCCTTTAAAGGTTATGTCGGCTATCCCAGAACCCTTCAGAGATGACTGTCCAGGTTAGTTTTGAGGCTGAATGGATATCTGGGTCAGTCCATTCAAAGGCAAACATATTATGAATCTGGATGCATTGAGATCCAGAAAAGTGCATCTTTCAGATTTAGGAATGTAAACCAGCTTACATTCCCTGGGACTTGGTAAGTATTGGGGACAATGAGTTGTATGGAGACAACTGCATTCTTAATGCTCTAAGCGTTCTGACAAATCTGTACTTGCCATTAGGCTTTTTATCTGGTAACATGCGAGTATTGTAAGGAGACTCTCATGGCCTTAATAACTCATATGGCAAGAATTTGGCAATAAGGCATTGAATTTCCCCTCATGCTTCTCACCTTAAAATGTATTGTCTCTTCTGAGGGCGAGGAGCACTAGGCTGAAGTTGGATTTGAATGGGGGAGGTGTTTAGTGTGTTTCCCAGAGTCTGTGTTGCCCAAACCTCAAGATTTACTTGAGACAACACCTCAGGTGATAAATGTGACAGCTCATTCTTAACTTCTTTTTTCCCCTGAGGGGTCAGGAACAAAAGTAACACTTTCTATGCTTTATGATCTGTGAAGGTGACCATGACTTGGTCTCCTGAGTCAACAAACCTCTCCCCAGTAAGAGGTCAGGCAATCAGACAATACTAAAAAGGCAGGCGAGAAACCTAGAGGCTCTGGAGGACAACTTAGAAGATAGGAAAAGCAGTGATTTTGGGCTTGTCCATCATGAGAATACAGGAGCCCATTGTATTGAATCAGTACAGAGTAATCTGCTCCCATACCTAATATGAAGTTAATACTCCTACCTGCTACTTCAAGAGTCACCTGAGGCTCCTCCACCTCTCGATAGCTAATAGTCCAATGGGAGCGGAGGTAGGAAGTATCAGGCCCTCCCAGTTTTGAGTCTGCTGGGCTCTGATGATGGCTCCCTTGGAAGCACGGTGCATTTCCTTCGGCAGTGGCCGACCTTCCTACAGAAGGCACATTGATTTATATCCAAGGCACAGTGGCCCAGAGGCACAGACTGAGACTTTTACCTTCTCACTTCCTCTGTGAGAGCCAGGGGTTAAGGGGCTGCCTCTGAAGTGGTGGAGAGCACAAGGCTGCAGCTAGAAGCTGGGTCTCTTGGAAGATTTGCTTTATTTTATATTTGCTTGGCCCTATTCCTGTGATGGAAAGCTGCAAAATCCAAGTCTAAAATCTGATCCATGGAGTCTGGCAGCCTAAGGCTGCTTTTGGTGGCTTTCTATAGATATCAGAAGCAGATCAGTCTATAAAATAAACTCCTAGCAATGCTTGTCCCTTCTTGGAGTCAGGGTCAGTGTTAGTGTATCTCCTCAAGGTCTAAATTATCCACCCTTGTAATAAGGCTAGGTTTTCATCTTTTCCCTGAGTAATTTTCCAGACTTTATAAAAATTAAAAAGCTTTATCACACTTTTTTTTATTCCTTCAAGGAGTCAAATGATCATAATTTTTTCTCTCTATATCCCACTTTCTTCCTAATTCATTTGTCTTTTCTAGATTCTAGTTCTTTTGGGTCCTAGTCAGGCACTGCTATGCCTCCTATTTGATAGGTGTCTTGTCCCTGGTTGCAGGCTGCCACCCTATTAGCATGTGCTCTAGTCACTTCCATAATGCACTGTGTTTCTACCATGCAGCAGGTAAACATAAATATATGCAAATCTTGCCTGGTCAGATCATACATCAAGGTTAGCCTCTTAAATTTTTCTATGAATTTTCCCGGAACTTCTGAAAAGTGTTTTAGTTTTTCCCTGCATATGGCTAATTCAGATGTAGAAAAGGGTACATATACCTATATAGCGTGGGGAAAAGAAAGAGGGATCAGACTGTTACTTTGTCTATGTAGAAAGAAGTAGACATAAGACATTCCATTTTATTCTGTACTAAGAAAAATTCTTCTGCCTTGAGATACTGTTAATCTGTAACCCTACCCCCAACCCTGTGTTCACAGAAACATGTGCTGTGTCGACTCAAGGTTTAATGGATTTAGGGATATGCAGGATGTGCTTTGTTAAACAAATGCTTGAAGACAGCATGATTGTTAAAAGTCATCACCACTCCCTACTGTCAAGTACCCAGGGACACAAAACAGTGCGGAAGGCCAAAGGGACCTCTGCCTAGGAAAGCCAGGGATTGTCCAAGGTTTCTCCGCATGTGATATTCTGAAATATGGCCTCGTGGGAAGGGAAGGACCTGACCATCCCCCAGCCCGACACCTGTAAATGGTCTGTGCTGAGGAGGATTAATAAAAGAGGAAGGCCTCTTTGCAGTTGATATAAGACAAACCCATCTGTCTCCTGCTCGTCCCTGGGCAATGGAATGTCTCAGTGTAAAACCCGATTGTATATTCCATCTACTGAGATAAGAGAAAACTGCCTTAGGGCTGGAGGTGAGACATGCTGGAGGCAATACTGCTCTTTAAGGCATTGAGATGTTTATGTATATGCACATCAAAAGGACAGCACTTTTTTCTTTACCTTGTTTACGATGCAGAGGCACTTGCTCACATGTTTTCCTGCTGACACTCTCTCCACTATTACCCTATTGTCCTGCCACGTCCCTCTCTCCGAGAAATGCCCCATAATGATCAATAAGTACTAAGGAAACTCAGAGACTGGTGCCGCCGCGGGTCCTCCATATGGTAAGCGCCGATGCCCTGGGCCCACTTTTTCTCTATACTTTGTCTCTGAGACTCTTCACAAGTCTCTTGTTCCACCTGAGGAGAAACGCCCACAGGTGTGGAGGGACAGGCCACCCCTTCAATATAGTGTCCCTATTATCATCTGTCACTTCCCAGAGAGGGCAAACATTCAGCTTTGCTAGCTGATAAGAGGCCCCACTGCATGTTGTTCTGGTGAAGTTCGGGTGTTTCGAGAGTGGGGTGTGTACGTAAGACAGGACTCAAAGGGCAGGGAGAAGATGATGACTGGACACTAGATAACCCTGGAAAACTAGAAGAAATTAATAACATGTTGCACACCTCACCAGAACTGGAAGGAGTCTCATTGTGTTCTTATGGGGTGCTTGGACTGGCAGGGGGAGTTCAGCCCCAGCTAAGAAAAGCCTAATATTAAGAGGTACTTGCATTAAAAGGGTAATCAATTACGTGTTGTCCCTATTTTGTCTTTTCCTCCATCAAACATATAGAAGCCCATTTTAATTTTTTATCCTGACCAAGCATCAGAGAAGCCTGTATATAATGTATTTCCTCCCTCTTAGTTTCTCTTCTATGAAACAAATTAAGCTGCAAAATAGGAATCAGATCAAACAGGGGAAATGGGAAGGCTGTAGCTTGTATATTGTAATGTATTAGTCCACTTTCACACTGCTATGGCAAAACTGACAAAACTCTCTCAGAAAAAAAATGACATGCTGGGTTTAGAAAGTAGGGTCCAGCTGCCCTATACCAGCTCATCAAAGATGCATTTATGGTTAAGAAATGAGAGAAAACTGTTAAGAAAAACCCTCATGTTCTCCATCTTGAGGGTAATTGTTTGCAGAGGGTTGTCATAGAAGAGGCTGCCACTAAACAGGCATATCTGATCTTATCATGTAGAGCTCTTAAATACCACATTTCAACTTCTAGTCATAATGATGGCAAGGTTACTGCTGATCTTTCCTGATTGTTAAGGTAAAAAAATACTAGGTTCCAAGACAATTCTTTTTTTCAGTGTCACTTGGACCAGTGGCAAATTAAACAAACAGTCAGTTAAGAGTCAGAGGATCGCAGAGGAAAGTAAAAGCTAAACTCTTTGGGGCCTCTGTCCTGGGGCAGCCTCCAGGCTACTACAAAACAGAGGTGGTGAGCAGAAAGGTGACAATATGTAGAGCACTCAGGTGAGGGACAGAGAGCACAAGGTGGACAGTCCAAAAAGAGAAAGTGGCAAATATCTTGTTTAGCCAAATCCATTCTTCTCAATATTCCCAGGGCCTCTAACCCTGTGGGCTTGGCCTCTAATTTGAGTATGATAATAGTGGATAATCATTCTTGCTCACCAGAATGGCTTCACGACTCTAAAAGACAGCCCACTTGCCAGGTGTCAGCTGATTGATTCTGTGTGGATTGTTTTCCTTGGAGTGAGGGTCTTGTCTTGGTGTCCGTTCATGGTGTTGCTGAAAGATGTTGCTGGAAAAGAGGGTCCTGATACAGACCACAAAGTAGGATTCTTAGATCTTGTGCAGTAAAAAATTTGAGGTGAGTCAGAGAGCACAGTGAAAGAAGCAAGTTTATTAGAAATTACTCCATTACAGAGTTGGACATCCTCAGAAAACAAGAGGAGGAATGCATTGTCTTTTGTTAGTGTCTCTACTTATAAATAACTATAAAGAGAAAGAGTTATAATTAAATTTGGAAGGTGCAGATGTAGTCACTAAAGTCGGGGCTATTGTTTTTAACAATAACCATTAACCTATTGACCTAAGCTACTTCATTAATAATATCCTTACAAAAAATGCTGCACTCCTAGGACATTTATACATTTTTCAGGCTTGGTGGAAGATGTCTTGTATGACCACAAATATTCTGCAATTGTAATTGGTGACCAGGTAAAAAATGTGACTATTTTCAGACCATGAACATTAACCTTCTAGATGCCTTGTGAATACCTAGCTACTCATATTAAGATAGAATATTCTAGTCAAGTTTATTAAACTAGAAACTAGGTAACCTTGAGTTCCTCTAACAGAGCAAGTCTACTCCTCAAGGAGAAAATGTATTTCTCAGGAATTTTGTGCATTTTGTTTGATGGCATTTGGTATGTTTTCCAAAATGGCAGAAAAGAGTGAAATTAGTCCTCAAAGATTTCTCAAGATTAGATATAAAATAAACAAAATGATTATAGTTAATATGCAGGTTGGTACAGTTGATATTCAAAAGAAATTTTGTTTGAAACAAAATGAGATTTTTATTTTTACTTATTTTTTGTTATTATTATTATTATTATTAATCATTTTGAGGCAGACTCTTGCTCTGTTGCCCAGGCTGGAGTGCAGTGCACCAACTTGGCTCACTGAAACTTGCGCCTCCCGGGTTCAAGCAATTCTCCTGCCTCAGCCTCCCAAGTAGCTGGGATTACAGGCATGAATCACCACACCCAGCTAATATTTGTATCTTTAGTAGAGATGGGGTTTCACTCTGTTGGCCAGGCTGGTCTCAAACCCCTGACAACAAGCGATCTGCCCACCTTGGCCTCCCAAATTGCTAGGATTACAGGCATGAGCCACCACTCCCAGCCACAATGAGGTTTTTCAATAATTCTGATTTCCTGCTGTTGAGCAGGGAGCTGAGCAAATTCAACAGATCATGGGCCTGAACTAGGGGAAGACTGAGGACAAAGTCTAGAACACATGTGATTAAATTAATTACAATGGAAACCAAATCAAATTGAATAATGCTCTACCTCTTAGTTTCAAGATGTTTCCCCTCATTTTGAAATGTGGTGTTATTCCATGGAAAAGAAAACTAATGTTCATCTCCAGAGTAAAGAATAGGGTTCTTTGCAGGGATTGATTGACTGAGAACTATGGCTCAGGATTAAAAATCCTTCTTTTTTCCATTTATAGAATAAAAAAAAAATTTCTAAACCCCTGTTGACTAAATGGACCTCTCTTCTTGGATAAGCAAATTCCAAAGTTAACCTGAAAAGCTAGTTCAAGCCATGGTTCACACATGCCTCATTATACTCTCCTCCCTTTGGTTTTAATTTTAATTTAAATTTCAATTTTTAATTTATTTTTGTGGGTACATAGTTGTTGTATATATTTATGGGGGTACATAACATACTTTGATGCAGTCATGCAATGAGTAATACATAATAAAAAACGGGGTATCTGTCCCCTCAAGCATTTATAGCTTGTGTTATAAACAATCCAATTATACTCTTTTAGTTTTTTTACATGTGGAATTAAATTATTTTTGACTATAATCACCCTGTTATGCTTTCAAATGCTGTCTTATTCATTCTTTCTAACAATTGTTTTTTTTTACCCATTTAGCATCCCACTATCCCCTTGTTTCCTCCCTGCCCTTCCCAGCCTCTGGTAACCATCCTTATACTCTCTATCTCTATGACACCAATTGTTTTGAATTTTAGCACCCACAAATAAGTGAGAACATGGGACATTTGTCTTTCTGTGCCTGACATTTCACTTTCATAAACATAAAGACTTTCACAAACATAAAGACTTTCAGTTCCATTTATGTTATTGCAAATGGCAGGCTCTCATTCTTTCTTACAGCTGAATAGTACTCCATTGTGTATATGTACCACATTTTCTCTATCCAGTCATCTGTTGATGGACATTTAGGTTCCTCCCAAATCTTGGCTATTATAAACCCTGCTGTGGCAAACATGAGAGTGCCAATAGGTCTTTGATTTACCAATTTTATTTCTTGTAGGCATATACTGTGCAGTGGGATTGCTGGACCACATAGTAGCTCTATTTTTAGTTATATCAGGAACATCCAAACTGTCCTTAAATGTGCTCCCAACAGCAGTGTACGAGGGTTCCCTTCACTCCACATACTCACCAGCATTTGTTTTTCACTGACTTCTGGATAAAAGCCACCTTAACTGGGGTGAAATGATATCTCATTTTGGGTTTGATTTTCATTTCTATGATGATCAGTAATGTGGAGCACCTATTCATTTGCCTGTTTCACATTTGTATGTCTTCTCTTCATAAATGTCTATTTAAATTTTTTGTCCACTCTGTATTTATTACTTTTTTGTATAGAATTTCTTGAACTCAATATATTGTAGTGTATTAGTCTGTTTCTGCACTGCTATAAAAAAAACCTGAGACTGTGTTATCCATTTATTTACTGAGATGAAGTCTTGGTCTCTTGCCCAGGCTGAAGAGCAGTGGTGTAATCTCGGCTCACTGCAACCTCCACCTCCTGATTCAAGCAATTCTCTGCCTCAGCCTCCTGAGTAGCTGAGATTACAGGCACCTGCCACCATGCCTGGCTAATTTTTGTATTTTTAGTAGAGACGGGGTTTCACCATCTTGACCAGGCTGGTCTTGAACTCCTGACCTCGTGATCCACCCAACTCAACCTCCCAAAGTGGGGAGATTACAGGCATGAGCCACCGTACCTGGCAAGACTGGGTAATTTATAAAGGAAATGGGTTTAATTGACTCACAGTTCCACATGGCCGGGGAGGCTTCAGGAAACTTACAATAATGGCAGACGGGGAAACAGGCACCTCTTACATGACAGCAGGCGAGAGAGCATGTATGTGAAGCAAAGGGGGAAGAGTCCCTTATAAAACCATCAGATCTCATGAGAAATCCCTCATTATCAGAAGAACAGCATGGGGGAAACCACCCCCATGATCCAATCACCTTCTAACAAGTCTCTCCCTCAACATCTGGGGATTACAATTCAATATGAGATTTGGGTGGGGACACAAATCCTAACCATATCATGTAACTATTAACTGCTTTTCAGATGGATAATTTACAAATATTTTCTCTCATTCTGTGGATTTTCTCTTCACTTTGTTTCTTGTTTCCTTCACTTTAAAAAGGCTTTCTGACTTTCTGTAATCCCATTTGTCCATGTTTGTTTTGGTTGTCTGTGCTTCTAGGGCATTATTTGAGGAATTTTTGCCCAAACCAATGCCCTAAAGAGTTTCCCCAATGTTTTCTTGTAAAAGTTTGATGGTTTGAGGCGTTAGGTTTAAGTCTTTAATTCATTTTAATTTGATTTTTGTAAGTGGCAAGAAATAGGGTTCTAGTTGTATTCTTCTGCCTATGGCTTGCCAGTTTTCCCAGCCCTATTCATTACAAAAACTGTCTCATTTTTTATTGTGTGTTCTTGATACTTCTGTTGAAAATTAATTTAGCTGTTCCTCCCATAGGATTCCAGAACACTGCTAAGAGGGTCTGAATGTTTGTCCCTCACATAGGATTCCAGAACACTGCTGCTGGGTTCTAAATGTTTGTCACATAGGATTCCAGAACACTGCTACAAGGGTCTGAATGTTTGTTCCTCACAGGGGATTCCAGAACACTCCTGCTGTTGTCTGAATGTTTGTCCCTCACATAGGATTCCTGAACACTGTTATGAGGGTCTGAATGTTTGTCCCTCACACAGAATGCCAGTTTTCCCAGCCCTATTTATTATAAAAACTGTCTTATTTTTTATTGTATATTCTTGGCACTTTTGTTGAAAATTAATTCAGCTGTATGAGTTTGTTTCTAAAGTCTCTATTTCGTTCCATCTGTCTTTATGTCTGTTTTTATGCTAGTGTCATGCTGTTTTAATTATTATAACTTAGTAGTATAATTTAAAAACAGGTAATGGAATTCCTCCAGTTTTGTTTTATATACTCAGCATAGCTTTGACTATTATGCTGTTTTGTGATGTTTCCATATAAATTTCAGAATTTTTTTTCTATATCTGTGAGGAATGTCTTCTTCTTCTTCTTCTTTTTTTTTTAGATTGCATCTTGCTCTATCACCTAGACTGGAGTGCAGTGATGTTACACCTGCACACCACAACCTCCACCTCCTGGGTTCAAGCAATTCTTTGCCTCAGCCTCCTGAGTAGCTGGGATTACAGGCACCCGCCACCATGCCTGGCTAATTTTTTTGTATTTTTAGTAGAGGTGGGGTTTCACCAAGTTGGCCAAGCTGGTCTTGAACTCCTGACCTCGTGATCCACCAACTTCAGCCTCCCAAAGTGCTGGGATTACAGACGTGAGCCACTGCCCCTAGCCTGTTATTTTGATAGAGATGGCATGAAATGTATAGATTGTTATGGATTGTATGGACATTTTTTAAAAATACAGATTCTTCCAATCTGTGAACATAAAAATATCTTTCCAATTTTTGGGTCCTTTTTCATTTCTTTTATCAGTGTTTTACAGTTTTAACTGTTGAGAACTTTTATTTCTTTGGTAAATTCCCACACATTTTGTTTTATTTGTGGCTACTGCAAATAGTATTACATTTTTGAATTCTTTTTCAGTTTGTTGACTGTTGGCATATAGAAATCCTACTGATTTGTATATGTTGATTTTGAATTCTGCAAATTTACTCAAGTTATTACTTCTAATAGTTTTTGGTGGATGTATTAGGCCATTGTCATATTGCTATAAAAAGTAATCAGTGACTGGTTAATTTATAAAGAAAATAGGTTTAATTGGTTCATGGTTCTTCAGGCTGTACAGAAAGCATAGCACTGGCTTCTGCTTCTGGGGAAGCCTCTGAAAACTGACAAGGTGAAAAATAAATCCGGTGCTTGCACATCACATGGTAAGTGCGAGGGCAAGGGGAAAGTGCTACACACACTTATAGATAACCAGCTCTGATAAAAACTTACTATTGTGGGAATGGCACCGAAGTAAATGATGCCAAACTGTTCATGGAAATCTTGCCCTCATGATTCAATCACCTCCCCTATAGGCCCACATCCAACATTGAGGATTATATTTCAATATAAGATTTTGGTGGGAATACACATCCAAACTGTATCATTTTGCCCCTGGCCATTCCAAATCTCATATCCTTCTCATATTTCAAAATACAATCATGACTTCCCAATAATCCCCAAAGTCTTAACTAATTTCAGCCTTAACTCAAAAGTCAAAAGTCTCATCTAAGACAAAGCTAATTTCTTCCTTCTATAAGCCTGTAAAATAAAAAAAAAACAAAAAACAAGTTAGGTTCTTCCAAGACATAAATGAGGCAGAGGCATTGGGTAAATATTCCTATTCTAAAAGGAAGAAATCAGCCAAAAGAAAGGGGCCACAGGACCCATGAAAGTCTGAAACCCAGAAGGGCAGTTATTCAATTGTAAGGCTCCAAAATAATTATTTTTGACTCTGTGTCCCATTTCCAGGGCACACTAATGCCTTGGGAAGGTTCTACCTTGTGACTTTGCATGGTTCAGCCCCCACAGCTGCTCTCATGGGCTGGCATTCTGTGCCTCTGGCTTTTCAAGGTGCAAGGTGCAGGCTGTAGCTAGATCTACCATTCTGGGGTCTGGAGGACAGTGATCCCCTCCTCATAGATATACTAGGCCATGACCCAGTGGGGATCCTGCCTGGGGACTGTCACCCCACATTTCTTTTCTCCATTGTTTTAGTACAGGATCTCCATGAGGGCTCCACCCCTGCAGCATGCTTCTGCCTGCACACCCTGGCTTTTTCATACATCCTTTGAAATAAAGGTGGAGGCTCCCAAGTCTCAACTACTTGCATTTGGTAAACCCACAGGCCTAACACCACATGAAAGCTACCAAGATTATGGCTTGCACACTCTGAAGCAGTGACTGGAGTTGTAACTGGATCAATTTGAGCTACACCTAGAGCTGAAGCAGTGGCCAGGATGCAGGGAGCCTTGTTCCAAAGCTACCCAAGGCAGCAGGTCCTAGTCTGATCCCAGAAACTATTCTCTTCTTTTAGGCCTCAGGGCCTGTGATGGGGGGCTGCCTTTTAGATTTTTAAAATGCCTTCAATTCCTCTTTCCCATTGCCTTGGCTATCAACACTTGCTTTTTTTTAGGTTATACAAATATCTCTAACAAGTAGTTGACCCATATCCTGCTTGAGTTCCTCTCTTATAAAAGCTTTTTATATTTCAGCCACCTGACTAGGCTGCAAAGTTTTCAAGCTTTTACACTATGCTTCTTTTGTAAGTATAAGTTACTACTTATTTTATTTTTATTCTTTTGCTAGAATATGTGAGCATAGGTTGTTAGAAGCAGCCAGGCCACATCACAACTGCTTTGCTGTTTAGACATTTTTCCAACAGAAACCCTAAATCATCAATTTCGAATTCAAACTTTTATATATCCCTAGGGCATGACAGAAATTCAGCCAACCACTTTGCTAAGACAACATGCATGACCTTTGTTTCAGTCCCAATAAGTTTCTAGTTTTCATCTGAGACCTCCTCAGCCCGGGCTTCACTGTCCAGATCACTATCAGCATTTTGGTCACAGACATTCAACCAGTCTCTAAGAAAATCTCAACTTTCCCTCATTTTTCTGTCTTCTGAATCCTACAAACTCTTCCAACTTCTGCCTGTTTATCCAATTACAAAGCTGATTCCACATTTTGGGGTATTCTTATAACCATTTTCCATTCCTTGGTGCCAATTTTCTGTATTAAGCTATTTTTGCATCACTATGAGAGTGGGACTGGATAATTTATTTTTTACAAAGTAGGTTTAAGAGGCTTATGATTCTACAGGCTGTAGAGAAGACATACCACTGGAATATGCTTCTGGAGAGGTCTCTGGAAGTTTACAGTCATGGCAGAAGTTGAAGCAGAATCTTGCACATCACAGGGCAAAAAGCAGGAGCAAAGAACAGAGCGGCGAGTTGTTACACAGTTTTAAATAACCAGATCTTATGGGAACTCACTCACTATCATGAGGATAACAACAAATGGGATGGTGCTAAGCCATTTATGAGTAATCCACCCCAATGGTTAAATCACCTTTCACCAGGCCCATATTCAACATTGAGAATTACATTTAAATATGAAATTTGTTAGGGGACACACATTCAAACCCTATCAGAGGAGTCTTTATGCTTTTTCTAATATAAGATTATATAACTGGCAAAAAAAAAAAGGTAATTTGACTTCTTTTCCAATTGGGATGCGTTTTATTGCTTTCTCCTGTCTGATTGCTCCAGATAGGACTTTCAGCATTATGTTGAATAACAGTGGTAAAAGTGGACATTCTTGTCATCTTCCAGATTTTAGAGGAAAGACTTTTAGATTTTCCCCACTTAGTGTGATACTAGCTGTGGGTCTGTCATATATGACTTTTATTATGTTGAGGTATATTCATTCCATACCCAGTTTTCAAAGGGTTTTTTATTATTAAAGAATATTAAATTTTATCAAAACTTTTTTAGCATAATTGAAATGATTATCTGGATTTTGTCCTTGTTTTGTTTTGTTTTGTTTTTTGAGATGAAGTCTCCCTCTGTCACCCAGGCTGGAGGGCAATGGCATGATCTCAGCTCAATGCAAACTCTGCCTCCCAGGTTCAAGTGATTCTCCTTCTTCAGCCTCCTGAGTAGCTGGTATCGCAGGTGCCCACACCACGCCTGGCTAATTTTTGTAATTTTAGTAGAGACGGGGCTTCGCCCTGTTGGCCAGACTGGTTTTAAACTCCTAACCTCAGGTGATCTGCCCACCTCGGCTTACCAAATTGCTGGGATTACAGGTGTGAGCCACTGTGCCTGGCCCCTTCATTCTCTTTATGTGATCTATCACATCGATTGATTTGCATGTTGAACCATCCTTGCATCCCTGGGATAAATCCCACTTGGTAATTATGAATTACCTACTCATGTATTGCTTAATTCAGTTTGTTAGGTGTTTTGCAAATTTTTCCACCAATATTCTCAGATATGGGCCTGTAGTTCCCTTTTTTTAATGTGTCTTTGTCTGGTTTTGATATCAGGGTAATACTAGCCTTAAAGAATGAGTTTGGAAATGTTCTTTCCTTCTCTAGTTTTCAGTCTGGTCCTACAGACTTTTTTATTAAGGCTTTAATTTTGTTAATTGTTATTGATCTGTTCAGGTTTTAGGTTTTTTTCCTAGTTAAATCTTGGTAAGTTGTGTGTGTCTAAGAATTAATTTCCTCTAGGTTTTCTAATTTGTTGGCATACAATTGCTGATATTATTTACCAATGATCCTTTGCTTTTCTGAAGCATTATTTGTAATGTCTCCTTTTTACCTCTGATTTTACTAATTTGCATCTTTTCTGTTTTTTAGTTAGCCTGTTTAAATATTTGTCAATTGTTTTACTTTTGAAAAAATCAACATTTTCTTTCATTAATTCTTTACATTATTTTCGTCATTTTAACTTTATCTACTTCTGCTCTAATCTTTATTATTTCTTTTCTTCTAATTTTGGGTTAGGTTTGGTCTTTTATTCTAGTTAATTAAGATGTATTGTTAGGTTATTTATTTGAAGCTTTTCTGTTTTTTATGTAGGCACTTACAGTTATAAATTTTCCTTTTATAATAGTATATATTTACTATATTCCATAAGTTTTTCTATGCTATGTTTCCATTATCATTTGTTTCAAGAAATTTTTCTATTTTCTTCTTAACATTTTTATCAACCTACTAATCATTCAGGAGCATGTTGCTTAATGTCCATGTGTTTGCATAGTTTCTTAAATTCCTTTTTTAATTGATTTCTAGTTTTATCCCCTGTAGTCAGAGAAAATGCTTGATATTACTTCAATTTTTTGGAATGTTTTTAGACTTGTTCCTTAACATATGGTCAATCCTTGAAAATAATGCATGTGCTGAGGAGAAGAATGTGTATTCTGCAGCTGTTGGATGAAATTTTCTGTAAATATCTATTAGGTTCATTTGTTCTATAGTACAGATTGAGTCTGATGTTTATTTGTTTGTTTTCTGTCTGGAAGGTCTACCCAATGACTAAACTGGGGTGTTGATGCGTCCAGCCATTATTGTATTGAGGTCTCTTTCTTTAGCTCATAATATTTGCTTCATTTATCTAGGTGCTTTAGTGTTGGGTGCATATATATTTTCAATTATTATATCCTCTTGATGAATTGATCTCTTTATTATTATATAATGACCTTTTAATTTCTTCCTACAGTCTTTTGTGGAAATCTATTTTTGTCTGGTATAAGTATGGCTATTTCTGCTTTTTTTGGTCTCTATTGGCATGGGATAACTTTTTCCATCCTTTTATTTTCAGTCTAAATGTATCTTTGTAGGTAAAGTATGTTTTTTTTTGTGGGTCACAGATTATTGTCCTGCTTCTCTATCCATTCATCCACTATTTTTCTTTTGACTGGAGTATTTAGTTCATTTAAATTCAATGTTATCAGTGATAAGCACTTACTCCTGCCATTTTTTAATTTGTTTTCTGATTGATTTTTGTCCTCTCTTCCTTTTTTCCTTTCTTCCTGTCTTCCTTTTAGTGAAGGTGATTTCTCTTGAATTATAATCTAATTTCTTGCTTTTTACTTTTTGTACATCTTTGGTACACCTTTTGATTTGAAATTCCCATGAGGTTTGAAAATAATATAATACATGATTTTAGACTGTGGACAATTTAACACTGGTTGCATAAACAAAGAAACAAGCAAAACAGAGGTTGGAGCCAAGATGGCCAAATAGCAACAGCTCCAGTCTACAGCTCCCAGAATGAGCGACACAGAAGATGGGTGATTTCTGCATTTCCAAATGAGGTACCGGGTTCATCTCACTGGGAAGTGTCAGACAGAGTGTGCAGCACAGTGGGTGCAGTGCACTGAGCATGAGCAGAAGCAGGGTAAGACATCACCTCACCCAGGAAGCACAAGGGGTCAGGGAATTCCCTTTGCTAGTCAAAGAAAGGCGTGACAGACGGCACCTGGAAAATTGGGTCACTCCCACCCCAATACTGCACTTTTCCAATGGTCTTAGGAAACGGCACACCAGGAGATTATATCTCACGCCTGGCTTGGAGGTTCCTATGCCCACAGAGCCTCACTCATTGCTAGCACAGCAGTATGAGATCAAACTGCAAGGTGGCAGTGAGGCTTGGAGAGGGTCCCCTGCCATTGCTGAGGCTTGAGTAGGTAAAGCAGCTGGGAAGCTTGAACTGGGTGGAGCCCACTTCAGCTCAAGGAGGCCTGTCTGCCTCTGTAGACTCCACCTCTGGGGCTAGGGCATAGCCAAATAAAAGGCAGCAGAAACCTCTGCAGACTTAAATGTCCCTGTCTGACAGCTTTGAAGAGAGTAGTGATTCTTCCAGCATGCAACTGGAGATCTGAGAATGGGCAGACTGCCTCCTCAACTGGGTCCCTGAACCCCTAGTAGCCTAACTGGGAGGCACCCCACAGTAGAGGTGGACTGACACGTAACATGGCCGGGTAATCCTTTGAGACAAAACTTCCAGAGGAACGATCAAGCAGCAGCATTTGCAGTTCACCAATATCCATTGTTCTGCAGCCACTGCTGCTGATACCCAGGTAAACAGGGTCAGGAGTGGACCTCCAGCAAACTCCAACAGACCTGCAGCTGAGGGTTCTGACTGTTAGAAGGAAAACTAACAAACAGAAAGGACATCCACTCCAAAAACCCATCTGTACGTCACCATCATAAAAGACCAAAGGTAGATAAAACCACAAATATGGGGAAAAAACAGAGCAGAAAAACTGGAAACTCTAAAAATCAGAGCTCCTCTCCTCCTCCAAAGGAACGCAGCTCCTCACCAGCAACGGAACAAAGCTAGAAGGAGAATGACTTTGAGGAGTTGAGAGAAGAAGCCTTCAGATGATTAAACTATGCTAAGCTAAAGGAGAAATTTTGAACCCATGGCAAAGAAGTTAAAAACCTTGAAAAAAAGTTAGATGAATGGCTAAGTAGAATAACCAATGGAGAGAAATCCTTAAAGGGCCTGATGGAGCTGAAAACCATGGCACAAAAACTAAGTGATGAATGCCAAAGCCTCAGTAGCCGATTGGATCAACTGGAAGAAAGGGTATCAGTGATGGAAGATGAAATGAATGAAATGAAGCGAGAAGAGAAGTTAAGAGAAAAAGAAATAAAAACAAATGAACAAAGCCTCCAATAAATATGGGACTATGTGAAAAGACCAAATCTAGGTCTGATTGGTGTACCTGAAAGTGACGGGGAGAATGGAACCAAGTTGGAAAGCACTCTGCAAGACAATATCCAGGAGAACTTCCCCAATCTAGGAAGGCAGGCCAACATTCACATTCAGGAGATACAGAGAATGCCACAAAGATACTCCTTGAGAAGAGCAACACCAGGACACATAATTGTCAGTTTCACCAAAGTTGAAATGAGGAAAAAATGTTAATGGCAGCCAGAGACAAAGGTCAGGTTACCCACAAAGAGAAGCCCATCAGACTAACAGCTGATCTCTCGGCAGAAACTCTACAAGCCAGAAGAGAGTGGGGGCCAATATTCATTATTCTTAAAGAAAAGAATTTTCAAACCAAAATTTCATATCCAGCCAAACTAAACTTCATAAGTGAAGGAGAAATAAAATCCTTTACAGACAAACAAATGCTGAGAGATTTTGTCACCACCAGACCTGCCCTAAAAGAGCTTCTGAAGGAAACACTAAATGTGGAAAGGAAAAACTGGTACCAGACACTGAAAAACGCCAAATTGTAAAGACCATCAATGCTAGGAAGAAACTGCATCAACTAATGAGCAAAATAACCAGCTAACATCATAATGACAGGATCAAATTCACACATACCAATATTAACCTTAAATGTAAATGCATTCAATGCTCCAATTAAAAGACACAGACTGGCAAATTGGATAAAGAGTCAAGACGAATCAGTGTGCTGTATTCAGGAAACCTATCTCATGTGCAGAGATACATACAGGCTCAAAATAAAGGGATGGAGGAAGATCTACCAAGCAAATGGAAAACAAAAAAAGGCAGGGGTTGCAATCCTAGTCGCTGATAAAACAGACATGAAACCAACAAAGATCAAAAGAGACAAAGAAGGCCATGACATAATGGTAAAGGGATCAATTCAACAAGAAGAGCTAATTATCCTAAATACATATGCACCCAATACAGGAGCACCCAGATTCATAAAGCAAGTCCTTAGAGACCTACAAGGAGACTTAGACTCCCACACAATAATAATGGGAGACTTTAACACCCCACTGTTAATATTAGACAGATCAATGAGAAAGAAAGTTAACAAGGATATGCAGGAATTGAACTCAGCTCTGCACCAAGTGGACCTAATAGACATCTACAGAACTCTCCACCCCAAGTCAACAGAATACACATTCTTTTCAGCACCACACCACACCTATTCCAAAATTGACCACATAGTTGGAAGTAAAGCTCTCCTCAGCAAACGTAAAAGAACAGAAGTTATAACAAACTGTCTCTCAGACCACAGTGCAATCAAACTAGAACTCAGGATTAAGAAACTCACTCAAAACCACTCAACTACATGGAAACTGAACAACCTGCTCCTGAATGACTACTGGGTATATAACGAAATGAAGGCAGAAATAAAGATGTTCTTTGAAACCAATGAGAACAAAGACACAACACACCAGAATTTCTGGGACACATTCAAAGCAGTGTGTACAGGGAAATTTATAGCACTAAATGCCCACAAGAGAAAGCAGGAAAGATCTAATATGGACACCATAACATCACAATTAAAAGAACTAGAGAAGCAAGATCAAACACATTCAAAAACTAGCAGAAGGCAAGAAGTAACTAAAATCAGAGCAGAACTGAAGGAAATAGAGACACAGAAAACCCTTCAAAAAGTCAATGAATCCAGGAGCTTGTTTTTTGAAAAGTTCAATAAAATTGATAGACTGCTAGCAAGACTAATAAAGAAGAAAAGAGAGAAGAATCAAATAGATGCAATAAAAAATGATAAAGGAGATATTACCACCGATCCCACAGAAATACAAACTACCATCGGTGAATACAATAAACACCTCTATGCAAATAAATCGGAAAATCTAGAAGAAATGGATAAATTCCTCGACACATGCACCCTCCCAAAACTAAACCAGGAAGAAGTTGAATCTCTGAATAGACCAATAACAGGCTCTGAAATTGAGGCAATAATCAATAGCTTACCAATCAAAAAAGCCTAGGAGCAGATGGATTCACAGCCGAATTCTACCAGAGGTACAAGGAGGAGCTAGTACCATTCCTTCTGAAACTATTCCAATCAATAGAAAAAGAGGGAATCCTCCCTAACTCACTTTATGAGGCCAGCATCATCCTGATACCAAAGCCGGGCAGAGACACAACAAAAAAAGAGAATTTTAGACCAATATCCTTGATGAACATTGATGCAAAAATCCTCAATAAAATACTGGCAAACCAAATCCAGCAGCACATCAAAAAGCTTATCCACCATGATCAAGTGGGCTTCATCCCTGGGATGCAAAGCTGGTTAAACATATGCAAATCGATAAATGTAATCCAGCATATAAGCAGAACCAAAGACAAAAACCACATGATTATCTCAATAGATGCAGAAAAGGCCTTTGACAAAATTCAACAACATTCATGGTAAAAACTCTGAATAAATTAGGTATTGATGGGACGTATCTCAAAATAATAAGAGCTATCTATGACAAACCCACAGCCGATGTCATACTGAATGGGCAAAAACTGGAAACATTCTCTTTGAAAACTGACAGAAGACAGGGATGCCCTCTCTCACCACTCCTATTCAACATAGTGTTGGAAGTTCTGGCCAGGGAAATCAAGCAGGAGATGGAAATAGAGGGTATTCAATTAGGAAAAGAGGAAGTCAAATTGTCCCTGTTTGCAGATGACATGATTGTATATCTAGAAAACCCCATTGTCTTAGCCCAAAATCTCCTTAAGCTGTTAAGCAGCTTCAGCCAAGTCTCAGGATACAGAATCCATGTACAAAAATCACAAGCATTCTTATACACCAATAACAGACAGACAGCCAAATCATGAGTGAACTCCCATTCACAATTGCTTCAGAGAGAATAAAATACCTAGGAATCCAACTTACAAGGGATGTGCAGGACCTCTTCAGGGAGAGCTACAAACCACTGCTCAAGGAAATAAAAGAGGATACGAACAAATGGAAGAACATTCCATGCTCATGGGTAGGAAGAATCAATATCATGAAAATGGCCATACTGCCCGAGGTAATTTATAGATTCAATGCCATCCCCATCACGCTACCGATGACTTTCTTCACAGAATTGGAAAAAACTACTTTAAAGTTCATATGTTTACTCTTTCTATTTGAGATTTTTGCACCCCATAATTACTGTATTATAATATTCAGTGTTTTTCCATGTGCTATTGCTAGTGAGTTCTGTACCTTCAGATGATTTCTTCTTGCTCACTAACTTTTTTTCTTTTAGGTTAAGATATCCCTTTAGCATTTCTTGTAGGACAGGTCTGGTGTTAATGAAATCCCTCAGTTTTTGTTTGTCGGAAAAAGTTCTTATTTTTCCTTCAAGTTTAAAGGACCTTTTTGCCAGATACATTATTCTAAAGTAAAAGTCTTTTTTTTCCTTCAGCTTTTTTAATATGTCATGCCAGTCTCCCAGCCTGTAAATTTTCCCCTGAAAAGTCTGCTGTCAGATGTATTGGAGTTCCACTGAAAGTTATTTGTTTCTCTTCTCTCGATGCTTTTAGAATCATTTCTTTATCCTTAACCTTTGGGAGTTCAGTTAAGTGCCTTGAGGTGGTCTTCTTTGGGTTAAATCTGCTTTATGTTCTGTAACTTTTTGTTACTCGAATATTGATATCAAATGTTGAGGAATTGTTTAATATGATTTAATATATTTATTTAAATAAATGTTCAACTCATCTCTTTTTCTACCTCCTCTTTAAGGCCAATAACACTTAGATTTGCTATTTTGAGGCTATTTTTTAAATTCCATAGGCATGCTTTATTTTTTATTCTTTTTTGTCTCCTCTGACTTTGTGTTTTTAAATAGTCTGACTTCAAGTTCACTAAATCTATCTTCTTCTTGGTCAATTCTTTTAAATAATTCTGATCCATTCTTCAGTATGACAATAGCATTTTAACTTCAGAATTTCTGCTTTATTCTTTTATTTCAATCTCATTGTTAAATTTATCTGATAGAATTTTGAATTCTTTCTCTGTGTTATTTTGTACATTTCTTTGAATTACCACAACGAGCTATTTTGGATTTCCTATATGAAAGGTCACACATCTCTGTTTTTTCCAGGATTTGTCCCTAGTGCTTTATTTGGCTTCTTTGGTGAGGTCATGTTTTCCTGGATGGCCTTGATACTTGTAGATGTTCATCTGTATCTACACATTGAAGAGTTCAGTCTTTACTGTAGTCTTCACAGTCTGGGCTTGTTAGTGCCCATTATCTTTAGGAACACTTTCCAGGTATTCAAAGAAACTTGGGTTCCAAACCCAATAGCACAGTAGTTTATGCAAACACATAGAGGTACTGCCTTGGTTGCCTTGGATTAACATCAAGAAAAATTCTCGTGATTTATCAAGTAAAGACTCTTGTTCTCTTCCCTTACTTTCTCTCAAATCAGCAGTCTCTCTTTCTGTGCTGAGACATGTGAAGCTGGGGTTGGGGTAACATAAGCACTCCTGTGGCCACCACCACTGAGACTGTGCTGATTCACACCTGAAGTAGGCACAGAACTTGGTCTCACGCAAGGCCCACTGCAACACTACTTGGCTACCATATGTTTATTCAAAGCCATAGGACTCTGTGATTAATATGTGGCAAAGCCAGCCGTGTTTGTGTCTCTGCCTATAGGGTGGCAAGTTCCCCTAGCCATGAGTGGGTCCACAGATGCTACCTGGGAGCCAGAGATTAAAGCATAGAATCTTCAAAATTTACCTGCTCTTCTATTTTACTGTAGCTAACCTGGCACTTAGGGAATAAGACAAAGTATTTTCTACTCTTCCTTCCCCTGTCTGCAGGCAGAAGAGCCTCTTCTATGACTGCCAACACTCCTGGCCAATGGGGGGTTTCCACCAAATCATCATCACTTTCTCACTTAAAGCCCAAGCACTCTTTAATTAGCTTGTGATAAATTCTGCAATGTCTGGGACTCGACCTTTGGCCCCGGGCAAGCGCAGAAATGCTGACCAAGAAGACCTTAGGCCTGGACTCAGGGACTCTAAGAATCTGCTTGGTGCTCTACCCCACTGTTGTTGAGCTGGCATATCAGGTGCAACACAGAGTTCCCTTTACTTTCCCACCTGCTTTTCTCAAACAGAAGTCTTTCACCATAGCTCCCACAGCTGGAAATGTATTGGGTCACACCTGAAGTTGGCGCTTCTCAGAGCCCAATGCCCATGGTGTATTACCTGGTTGTCACTGTTTTTTATTGTGGGTACGGGGGTTCTTTATTCAGCAGGTGATGAATTCTGCCAGATCTTTACTGACATGGCAGCACTGAGTTTAATGCAAAGTCCTCCAGTCACTGTGCTCTCCCTCTCCCAAATTCACAGGTTTCTCTGTGTTGTGTGGCTGCTGCTAGGTGGGAGTGGGCGAGTGGTTTTGTGAGCACTCCCTTAGCTTCTCTGGCTGTTGTCTCAGTAGACTCCATTCTCCCCACCCTCCACATTCCACTGGCTCTGAGCCCAGCTCGGAATATGACTTGCCTAATAATTGAAGTCCTTGTGGCCTAGACTGCCCCTTAAGTTCTCTTAGAGTCCAATAGCACGTCAACACATGATGGCAAGACTTGCAAAAACTGAAGCTCCCAATACTGGGATGGGAGGTTTTCCTCTTTGTAAGGCCAATACAAGTGCTCCCCCCATTGGCAGATGTCAGCTGAGTACAGTCTCGTTCTGCTTTTCACTGTGACAGGGTAGTACTGAGTTTATTGCAAAGCCTCACAAACTATGCTCTCCCTCTCCCAAACATACAATCTCTGCACGATGTAGCCACTACTGGTGGTTGAAAAAGAGGTGGCATCCTTGCTTCTAGACCGTCTTTTATTTGTTTGTCTTCTCCAATGTCTGTTTCTGTGATATGAAGTTAATACCAGGTACTGTGATTGCTCACCCAATTTTTGGTCCCTTTGACAGTGCTTCTTGAATGTAGTGAGTTGTGAAAATTTGGTGTTTTTGTGTGGTGGATGAGAATGTAGGCTTCTATTCTGCCCTCTTATTCTGTCTCTGCCTTAAATTTTTTAGATTCAGGGAGTATATTTGCAGGTTTATTACATGGATATATTGTGTGATGCTGAGCCATGTGGGATATTATTGATCCCATCACCAAGGTAGTGAGCATATATTGTGGGATATAATTGATCCCATCAGCTAGGCAGTAAGCATAGCACTCATCGTTTCTCACCCCCTGCCCTCCTCCTTCCCTCCTTCATCTAGTAGTTCTCAGTGTCTATTGTTGTCATCTTTATATTCATGAGTACCCCATGTTTAGATCCTACTTATAGGCAAGAACATGTGGTATTTGGTTTTCTGTTCCTGTAGTAATTTCCCTAGGATAATGGCCTCCAGAAGTATGCATGTTGCTGCACAGGACATGATTGTATTATTTTTAATGTGTGCATAGTATTTTACGGTGTATATGTGGCACATATTTCTATCCAATTTATTGATTAACACATAAGATAATTCCATGCCTTCCCTATTGTGAATAGCAATATGACGCATATAGAAGCGCATGTGGGGTTTCTTTTTGTAGAATTTTTAATTTTATTTTGGACATATACTCAGTAATGGAATTGCTGGTTGAATGGTACTTCTGTTTTAAATTCTTTGAAAAATCTCCAAACTGCTTTTCACAGTGGCTGAACTAATTTACATTCTCACCAACAGTGTATAAGCATTTCATTTTCTCTGAAGTCTAGCAAGAATTTGTTATTTTTTTACTTTTTAATAGTAGCCATTCTGACTAATCTGAGATGTTATCTCACATTGATTTGCATTTCTCTGATGATTATTGATGTTGAACATTAAGAAAACAACCCCATTAAAACATTGACAAGGGACATAAGCAGACACTTCTTAAAAGAAGATGAGCCAGGCACAGTGGCTCAGACCTGTAATCTCAGCACTTTGGGAGGCCGGGGCGGGCGGATCACAAGGTCAGGAGATCGAGACCATCCTGGCTAACACGGTGAAACCCTGTCTCTACAAAAAATACAAAAAATTAACCGGGCGTGGTGGCGGGCGCCTGTAGTCCCAGCTACTCGGGAGGCTGAGGCAGGAGAATGGCGTGAACCCGGGAGACAGAGCTTGCAGTAAGCCAAGATCGCACCACTGCACTCCAGCCTGTGCGACAGAGCGAGACTCCATCTCAAACAAACAAACAAAAAAAGATATAGAAGTGGGATTCTTATTCTATCACAATAAGCTGCCTTTCCTTTGCAAATACAAAATCAAACCATTCGAAAAATCACTTTAATTGTAGGGATTGACAGTATGTTTCCCCTTCTCTATCTCCTTTCCTCTTTTGTGATTTTTTCTGATCACCATCAATCCACTCAGCAGAGTAATCTCCATTCTTACTCTGTGTGAATTGTGGTGATGAGCTAGTCAGCTCTCTTAAAATCACTAACAAAAAGTTTTAAATTTCCTAGTTAGTAATAAGTTTTTAGCATGCCACAAGATACTCTTAGAACAAGGACTTCTGGTCCAGGCATTGTGGATTATGATGATTATTTCTTTGGATTTCTATAAGCTTTGAAATTAAGAGGTAAAAATCTAAAATAAATCAGACCATGTTATTTATACATTCATTGGGTTTGTTAATTATTCCACAGGAAAACAGATGAAAGACTTTTGTAGAATTCAATTCTGCTTCACCATATTTAGGGTTACAAGAAGGGAATTATATTGATGTAATTGACAGACTGAATTAACCTCAGTCATCACATGTGATTTTTCTAGAATTTTTTTTAATGGTGCTGACATTCTCTTCAATATGTCCATGCTTAGTTGGGTTTCTGGGGGAGAGATGAGTAGCTAGTACTACCCATCCAAAACATCATGTTCATTAGTTGGAATAATGGTGTGATATGATAGTCTTCAAGATGATGCCCTCAATTGCTTTCCTCCCTGCATGCACATGCTGCTCTTTACATTGACAGTTAGAGTCGAATCTCCCATTTCTTGAATCTGTGCTGGTCACAATGACTTGCTTTACCAATAGGATGGAGCAGAAGTTGTATTCTAGGACCTCCAAGGCTAGGTCCTAAGAAGCTTTGTGGTATTTGCCTGTGTGCCTTGGGACCAACTACCAAGTTGTGAGCACTCCAGGTAACATGGAGAGGTCAGATAGGCATCACACCCAGCAGCCAATATGCACTGCCAGCCATAAGAGTGACCCGTCTAGGCTCTTTAGCCTAGTTGAGCTTTCAGGTGAGTTCAGCAGCAGCCAACCAACCGCAACTGCAAGAAATACTCCAAAAGAGAACTTTTGTAGTGCCCACCAACCCACAAAACCATGAGAAATAACATTATTTATAATCACTAAACAATAACAATAAACAATATTAAATTATAAATAATTCCTTAAGTTTTGGAATGGCTTACTATTCAGCAAGAGATAGCTAGAACAAGTACTAAATATTGCACAATACTGAATAAGTGTAAGTTTAGTTGTATAATATACTTCTACATTTTAAAGGCATTGACATTTCTGGAAAGAGTGCAAAAGCGAGCACTGATTAAATGGTTCCCAAGAGAAGTTTTCTGTTGTATTTCAACATCACCATTTGCCAATGGGAGCTGTATTTTGTTTTTGGAAAATATATATTTCAAAGTTCATTTTAAAAAATATACTAACAATTTTTTAGAAAGGCATATGCTATTTTGAAAAAAATTTGAGCAAACCAGAGAAGTGTAAACTTTAAGGCTCTAATCATATTTTTATGCTATTTAACCCATAAATCCAAAGTCTGATGACAAACAAGTTTATCTAATACTGATATTTGGATAAATAAGTTAAACTAACAGTTTTCTTTTTAAATGATAGGTCTTATAATTGGTATGATGTTGAGATGGCTTCAGTGGATGGGCTCATCACCATAATAATATTTTCTCTTTAATACTTTTTTAGAACATTAAGTGACAACCAAAGGGTCTAAAACTGCGTTACACAGCAGTAATAAAATCAGAGTGACACTTACTTTGCAGCAGCAGGACTGGAATTCTTGCTGTTGGGGTTGGTGGCAGCAAACTCAATTATGGGTGTCTTCTGCTTCATGCTTAGATGGTGTGTTGGAACATTTCCTGTTTAGAACTTTCTAACTCTTCCTAACTAGAGCTGTTAAAAATAGAAACAAACTCCTCTGATTTTGAATTCAGCCTGTTTATTGTTATGATTTGTTCATATGTTTCTACTCTTTAGACCGTGGATTTCTTGTAGACAGAAATTGTATCTTATACCTCTTTTTGTTCAGCAGCGGTGTGCCTGGCACCTAGTTGAATTGTCAGGTTCGTTGAATAAGTAAAGTAAAATTATACTAGAAGTAAACTATTAAATTTATCAATTTTACTCAGAAAATATATAGCTAAGTATGACGTAAGAATCAATTCACTCACTGATTCAACGAACATTTTTTAATTGACTACAGTATGCTATGAGCTAGGAATATGACAGCAAACAAATCTCACTTTGTCTCAAACTTCAGTGGATCCAGGAGTCTCTAGAAGTTTAATTCTTGCTCAATCAGCAATTCCTTTTCACTGAAGACTTGACAAGAAGTTTTGAGAAGGCAAGAGTGTGTGAACTCGGCAGATGTTTGTGATGCACCTACTGTGTGCCAGACACTGTAGTGTCACAGGGTCTGCCAGTGTCTCCTAGGAAAGGTGAAAACTAAGGACAATATTTTAAACAAGAAACAACGCCAAGTATGCCACATGATGGAGAGGGAAAGCACTGGGTCCCAAGAGTATAACAAGCACTGAGCCTAGCGTGGGGTCCAGGTGTCTCTGGCATCATGCCCTCCTAGGTCGTGGTTGTCCCTCCTTGTTGCTCCTGCTGTCTTCTTCAGTTACATCAGCTTCTCTGCATTTCCTCATTTTACAGTGTGTGGGATGCAGTCATCTCTGAACAGGAATAGGCAACTGTGCACCTGTTACACCGTGCTTGATGCTCTGCATTGATGTACACTGGGCCCAGGTTTCCCTGGTGGACTGCTTGGCCCGTTCTTGTCATCTGGCTCTGAAGTCTTTGTTCATAGAGGTGCACTTGCCAGATGGGGAAGCCAGAGATCTGGGGTCCTCTGATGAGGCCACTCTCGCCCTGCTTATCTTCCCTGACATACCTAACAGATGAAGCTCAGGTGGGCGATGCACCTCAGGCCACAGTGTGGACTGTTGTAACCAAGCGAATTATAGAGGAAAGCCACCCTTTGAGACAAATTAAGTTGTTCTTTATTAACCAGCGACCGAGAGGCAGCTAAAGCTCAAAATTCTCTTGGCCCCGAGGAAGGGGCTGGTTTTGTTTTTATACCGTGGTCTAAATAGGGGAGGGGGGAGTTTAGCTGTAGCAATTTTTACAGAAGCAGAGCTAGAGCTAGCAAACTGTTAAAAAAATTAATTGGTTACAAAAGCAGTTACAAAAATAAATAAATAAACCATTCCAGGTGCAGGGGCTTAAACTATCACAAAGAGAGAAATACAGGGGTTTTGGGTGCCATTCACCGAGCGCGTCCCCAGGAGCTGCTGGTGCAGCTTGCCTCAATATCTTAATAGTAAGTGCATTCCTGGACGTGCTTTGAGTGAGTTTACACTAGTTATGCCCTTAAGGAAGGGAGGTAAAGGGGCTGCACGTGAAGAAACTAAAATGGAGTCTGTCCGGCTCTCTCTCCGCTAGGAGAGAGTCACTCAGGTTAAAACAAGGTAGGGTATCACAGGACCGTGTACAATTATTCAAGCTCCAGCTTCAATTCTCTTTCTTATTGCTCTCTTAGGACAGTATATTTAGATGGGAGTAAATGAAAGTAATGTTATTAGGGGATAAGATTAAAATCGATCCCACTTGTAAAAAATGAAGATTATTTGTGAGCTGTGATACTTTTTTTAGTGAAGAATCACCTTAAAACTTGGAACCTGGATACAAGATAATTGCTTCATTCTGGAAAAGTTTAGTAGCAAACTATATGCCAGGACTGTGATAATTACTAGGGATACATGATTGAATATATAGTATAAGATGCCTTGGAGTGTCAGTTTCATATAAATGGCTCATGCAGTATATAGACAGTGTGGTAAAAAGAGACTACTGAGATGTGCAGAGGACAGAAAATGAAGGGTCTTTGAATGGTAGATAAATGTGTTCGGACTTTTCACTCAGGGCTGTTGAAGTTTTTGAAGGTCAGTGGTCTTAGAGTTTTGGTGTTTTCAAGCCCTGCTAAGTACTTTGTTTCTAGCTGATGATTGGCCACCATTACTGATCATCTATTGGCTCTGTCTGATTCAGCAATCCCACCGCTGAGTATTTATGCAAAGGAAAAAAATCAATGTATCAGAAAGATAACTGTACTTTTATATTTGTTGCAACACTATTAACAGTAGCACAGATATAAAATCAACCTAAATGTCCATCAACAAATGATTGGAAAAAGAAAATGTAGAAAATATACACAATGAAATACTATTCAGGCGTAAAAAACAGTAGAATCATAATTTTTGCAGACACATGGATGGAACTGGAGGCCATTGTTGTAAGTGAAGCAAACCAGACACAGAGTAAACATCGTATTTTATCACTCATAAGTGGGTGCTAAAAGATGTGAGGGTATTGATGTAGAGAGTGGAATGATAAAGGAGACTCAGCAGGGTGAGGGGATGGAAGGGGTGAATAGTGAGAAATTTCTTAATGGGTACAATGTGCATTATTCTGGTGATGGATACCTGAAAGCCCTGACTTCACCACTATGCCATCCATGCTTACAGCAAAATTGCACTTGGAGACCAAAAATTTATACAAAAAAAGTCTTAGACCTCTCTCTTTTCTCTCATAAGCCTCAGAGCTCAGTGATCCCCTTGGATCTCCTCAGCCTGCTGAGTTTTAACTTTCCTACCTAAGGTGATTTTGGGCAGAGACAAGGGAGTGTTTCAGGAAGACGTTTTCAGGCATACGCTTCTAAAGAAACATTGGAGACTCTCCTAGTGGCTTTTATCTAGTCACTGCTTTAAGCAAGGAATAAAACATCTGTGGCTAAAATTTTAAAAACTATGTTTCCCATCCACCCTTTAGACCTGACAGAAGAGATTTTAGGATTTTAAGGGAACAGCTTTTTCCTGACCCAAAAGGGCACAGTAGTGCAAAGACCAATGTCACGTAGGTACCTTTTCCCCATCTGTAAAATAACTTTCCCATACTATTCCCACAGCTGGAATCAGTACAATGTTTTGACTGAGGTATTGGAAAAGCCTATGAGCTCATTATCATTTGAACGTATGAGTAATGTAAAATTTGGTAGAACTTTATTTGAAAGGATTATTTATGCCATTTTTAGTTAACTGATTTATATTACGGTTATTTCAAACAATAAAATCAGGTTGTTATGTCGTAAGCTAGAAAAATTTACAATGACACAAGGTCTTCATTATCTCACATGATGAATTGAAGATTAAAGCAAAATAATTTAGGGAATTCTGTGACAGTTTCTGTTTCATGTTGTTTAATAATGACTTCAAACTGTTGTATATATATGGAGAACTCCTGACTAAAGAGAATTTTTTTGTCTATTGTGCTATGTTTCTGTAACTTTTTAAGATCTAGAGGAACACATATTTAGTCTCAGTTGGCCAACTAAATGTTATGGAGTCAGCTTCTGTGTTATGTGCTGTGCATTGAAGGGATGGTGGAGACAAGGCTGCTGACCTCGCAGAGTCTGCGGAGAAAACCTGATGGAGCGTGGCAGGGAACATGCTGGGAGCATCCCAGGATGCCAAAAGTGCACACAGAGGGAACACCTGCCTTAGAAGTGGGGAGGGTCAGACAAGGAGAGTTGTCAGGAAAAACGAGGAAAATTTAATCTGCAGGAATAGAAACACACTTGAGAAATCCATGTGGAATGAAAAGAGAATGGCTGAGCAGCAGCAGATTGTCAAAAAGGAAATCAAGAAGGAGCAGCCAAAGAGGTGGATGGAGAACCACGAGAAAGAAGGTGACACTGAAGCCAAGGGAAAGAAAGTGTTTCAACATTTCTGGGAAAAAAAATGACATTCTCCGTCTTAACCTTGTTATTTTATGAGTCATATAGCCACATTCCAGGTTCTGAGAAGTCCAGCACTAAAGATGTTTCTTTTAGTTTGCTTAACCCAGCATTTGCGGGAATAATCTGAGCTCAGTGTGAGTGTGTGTGCGTGTGTGTGTGTGTGTGCGCCTGTGTGTTCCACTAATATCTCTCTGGGGTTAGTGCTCTATACAACATAATTTTTAAAACACTGGTTTTATCCATCTTATTATGTTCAGCTGCAGCAATACTTACAAAGGTCAACTTTGATTATGTGTCTTAGTTACTAAAGAAAACAAAACAAACTAATGAATAAAGCCCACCTGGCAGTGGCTCCTCACTACCTGTACGATGGAGCCCACCTGGCTTGGCCTGCGTGCCCTGTGCCGACCTGGCCATGCTGTCTTCTGCCTGTTGCTTTGCCTCCCCTTTCCTCCTGGAGAAGGTAGAGATGCTCTGAGATTTGGCCCGTCTGGAACATGTGTCCTTCTCCTCATGTGGACCATGTTTTCCTGAGTCCACTTTAATCTTGTTTAAGGGTATAGAACTTTACTTAAAGCTTCTGGTCAGGTCTCACTCTGTATGCTGTCTTCCTGCCACTTCTACTATGTACATATTTAACTGATACATTAATTATGCTATATCAGCCAAGGGTTTTACTTCTATATCATTTTATATCATCATCTTTTTTTCTTAGAGCTTAGTTCACTTATTTATTCAGTCTTTCCACACTATAATTGTATGTCATATAATTTTATATTTATTTTCATTGGTGTTTATATATCTTTTCTGTAAAAATGGAGGCTTTCTAAATAGATCTTCATTAATGTTGAGAGAACAAGGTTTTAAGTCGTGGTCTCAGCCAAAAGGAGTTCCCCGCACTACCAGGAGGGAAAGAAGCACTTGCATTGTTGCATTAGATGTTCTTACAGAGAAAGAGAACCATGTGTAATGGAAAATTGCTAACTATGCCTCAGGGGGACCAGGTTGATTCGGTGAGAAAGTTTCTATTGGTTTAGAAAGCATAGTTCTGAGTTTTCTAGGAGAAGGAGAAAAATTAGAGTAGGGCATAAGAAGTAATGCCCATATCAAAAAGTTAGAAAGATCTCAAATTAACAACCTAACATCACAACTGAAAGAATTAGAGAAGCAAGAAGAACTCAACCATAAAGCTTATAGAAGACAAGAAATAACTGCAATCAGAGCTGAACTGAAAGAAATTGAGACAAGAAAAACTGTTCAAAAGATCACTTAATCAAGGTTTTATGAAAAAAATACTAAGATAGATAAGGCACTAGCTAGACTAATAAAGAAGAAAAGAGAAAAGATTCAAATAAACAAAATTAGAAATGATGAAGGGAATGTTACCACTGACCCCAGAGAAATAAAAATAACAACCAGCAACTACTGTGAACACCTCTACACACACAAACTAGAAACCCCAGAAGAGACGAATAAATTCCTGGACACATACACTCTCTTAAGACTGAGCCAGGAAGAAATTTAGTCTCTGAACAGACCAATTATGAGCTCCAAAAATTGAATCCATAATAAATAGCCTACCAACCCCTCGAAAAAGCCCAGGACCTGATAGATTAACAAATTTTAACAGATGTACAAAGAAGAGCCACTACTAGTCCTACTAAAACTATTTCAAGAAATACAGGAGGAGGGACTCTTCCCCAACTTGTTCTACGAGACCAGAATCATCCTGATACCAAAGCCTGGCAGTGATACAACAAAAAAAGAAAACTTCAGGCCAGTATCCTTGATGAACATCCATTCAATAATCTACAACAAAATACTTGCAAACCGAATTTAGCAACACATCAAAAGGCTAATTCACCATAGTGAACTAAGCTTCTTCCCTGGAATGAAAGGTTGGTCCATCATGGGCAAATCAATAAAATGTGATATGTAACATAAATAAAACTAAAGAGAAGACCACGTGATTGTCTCAACAGATGCAGAAAAGGCTTTCAGTAAAATTCAACAAAGCTTCATGTTAAAAATTCTCAATAAATGAAGTATCGAAGGAACATACCTCAAAATAATAAAGGCCACCTATGACAAACTCACAGCCAACATTTTACTAAATGGGCAAAATCTGGACGCATTCTCCTTGAAACCCACACAAGACAAGGATGCCCTCTCTCACCACTCCTATTCAACATAGTATTAGAAGTCCTTTCTGGAGCAATCAGACAAGAGAAAGAAATAAAGCATATTTAAATAGAAAGGGAAGTCCAACTATCTCTGTTTGCAGACAACATAATTCTCTATCTAAACCCTATAGTTGTGACCCAAAAGCTCTTTAAGCAGATAAACAACTTCCACAAAGTTTCAGGACACAAAATCAATGTACAGAATTTGCTAGCATTCCTATATACCAAGAAGAGTCAAACTAAGAGCCAAATCAGAGAGGCAATTTTATTCACAATTTCCACAAAAAGAATAAAACATGTACGAATACAGCTAACCAGGGAGTTGAAAAATCTCTACAATGAAAATTACAAAACACTGCTCAAAGAAGTCAGAGAAGATACAAACAAAAGAAAAACCATTCCATGTTAATGGAGAGAAAGAATTAATATAATTTAAATGGTCGTACTGCCAAAAGCTATTCCTATTAAACCAGCAATGACATGATTCATGGAAGTAGAAAAAAGCTATTTAGAAATTCATATAGAACCAAGAAAGAACCTAAGTAGCCAAGGCAATCCTAAGCAAAAAGAACAAAGCTTGAGGCATCACATTACCTGACTTCAACCTATACTATAGCACTATAGTAACCAAAACAGCATGGTACTAGTACAAAAACAGACACATACACCAATGGAGCAGAATAGAGAAGTTAGAAATAAGACCACATACCTACAACTATCTAATATTTGACAAAGCTGGCAAAAACAAGCAATGGGGAAAAGATTCCCTATTCAATAAATGATACTGGAATAACTGGCTAGCCATATGCAGAAGATTGAAGTTGGACTTCTTCCGTATACCATACGCAGAAATCAATCCAAGATGGGTTAAATACTTAAATGTAAAACCCAAAACTATAAAAGCCCTGGAAGGCAAGCTAGGCAATACCATTCTGGACATAGAAAGAGACAAAGATTTCATGATAAAG
Source organism: Homo sapiens (assembly GCF_000001405.40). NCBI lineage: Eukaryota > Metazoa > Chordata > Mammalia > Primates > Hominidae > Homo > Homo sapiens. The sequence goes on from NC_000020.11 coordinate 29,834,447, forward strand.
ACACCAAAAACAACAAATGCAACTATTGACAAGTGAGATCTAATTAAACTTAAAAGCTTCTGTTCAGCAAAAGAAATTATCAATAGAGTGAACAAACAACATATAGAATGAGAAAAAATATTTACAAACTATGTATCTGACAAAGATCTAATATTCAATATAAGGAACTTAAGTTTACAAGAGAAAAACAAAAAACCCTATTAAAAAGTGGCCAAAGCCCTGACTTCTGAATGGCACTTCTGGACCCAGCCAGGGACTGAGGGATCTCACTGCCCTAAAGGAAAGAACACAGGACTCTCTGGCTTTGCCACCTGCTAATTGTAGAGACCAAAGGCCTTGAGTGAACATAGGCAGTCGTCAGAAAGTGCATGCAGAAGAACTTGAGCAAGATCCGGTGCTGTGCTAGTTTCAGGTCTGATCCAGGGCAGTCATAGTGGTGGTGGCCAGCGGTGCTTGTGTCTTTCTTCTCTCTTTCTAAGCTTTAGGTGGCTTAGAATAGAGAGAAAGACTCTGTATCTTTGAGAGAAAATAAGGGTAAGGAAAAAGTCTCTGGCTAGTAATCCAGAAAATTCTCCTGGATCTTGTTGAAGGCTGTCAAGGTGGTACTTCTCTGAGTCTGGAAGAATTACCGCATTATTGGGTATAAGGTGCCCCATAAAGCAGATATGGCTTAGATCACAACACCCAAGTTTTTTTCAAATATGTGAAAAGCCTTCCCAAGAAAGACAGCTACAAATAAGCACAGACAGTGAAGACTACAATAAATACTCACCTATACTCTTTTTAAATTTTATTTTTTTAAACCTCTCATATGGTGCTACATGCCCAAGATTTTAATGTCCAGACACTGAAGAACATCTACTAGCATCAACACTGTCCAGGAAAACATGACCTCACCAAGTGAACTAAATAAGGTACCAGGGACAAATCCTGGAGAAAAAGAGATATGTGACATTTCAGACAGAGAATTCAAAATAGCTGTATTTAAAAAAAACTGAAAGAAATTTAAGATAACAAAGTAAAGAAATTCCAAATTTTATCAGCTAAACTCAAAAAAGAGATTGAAATAGTTACAGCGAATTAAGCAGAAATTCTGGAGCTGAAAAATGCAGTTGGCATGCTGAACAATGCATTAGAGCCATGTAATAGCAGAATGGATCAAGCAGAGAAGACAGGCTCTTTGAAAATACATAGAAGAGACAAAAGAAAAAGAATAAAAACAGCAAATCATGCCTACAGGATCTAGAAAATAACCTCACAAAGACAGATCTAAGAGTTATTGGTTTTAAAGAAGATGTAGAGAAAGAGGCAGGGGAGGATCTAGAAAATCGCCCCACGAAGACAAATCTAAGACAGACCCAAGCTGTGTCCTGTGAGCAGGCTCGGCGCCACTGCTTCCACCACAGGGCAGGAGCACTCTACAACTTTCAGAGCCCACAGCACCAAGAGGACAGGGAGGAGCCAACAAAGGAATGACCCTAGGAAACACACACCCAAAGCAACAAACCAATCCAAGTAAAAACATGTCTCAGGGCTCCGTTGGTTTTCCCGTGTGGGCAGCCCTGCCCCCCTGTTCCAGCCCGGCCCAGGCACCCTCGACCCTACCCTCGCCAAAGGGGCCCCTGTCTACCAGAGCAGAGCCTCCCTCTCCAAGGCTCTGTTGCTCCCCCTCTCTAGCTCCCTCACCCTCTCCCTTTCTCTACTTCCCTCTCCACCTTGCGTGCTCTCTCTCTCAATCTCCCAGGTTCTTCTCTGTCTTTCTCTCGATCGCTGTTTCTCACTCTCCTTCCGTTTCTATCTCTCCATCTCTCTGTCCCTTGTTCTTCTTCAAGCTGTCTGTGTCTTTGTGTGTCTGTGTGTGTGCTTGTGTTCCCACGCGTGCGCCCCTGTGTATCTGTGTGTTTGGGAGTGGGTTTGCTAGTGACTGTGGTGGGGTGTGTCTGGATGTCCCTCAGAACCTTTGTGCCAGGATCAGGCTGCCAACTCTTAGCCAGCGCGTGGGTGTCACAGTTGCCGTAATAGTCTCACACACGCAGGTGTGTGGATCTCGTTTATTTTCATGTAGACAAGGAGAGCGAAACCACAGAGAAAAGAAACGTCCCATGCATCACGTCCTGAAGAATGATTCCTGTTTCCTGAAAAATGGGGAGTCTCCAATATAGCCTGTTTGAAAACTGGAAAGGAGAGCGACACGATGCTGGTCTTCCATGTATTTCTGGAAGTTTCTGGGGCCCCACAGAGGTCGGGAAACAAACAGTCAACATGGTCACACTTTCCAGGGTGCAGAGACTTGTGCTGGGCCCACTGTCTGGCATGCCCTAGTGAGATGAACACAGAACCTCAGAAGGAAATGCAGAAATCACCCGTCTTCTGCGTCGCTCACGCTGGGAGCTGTAGACTGGAGCTGTTCCTATTCGGACATCATCCGGAGAACCTTCTTTGTGATGTGTGCATTCATCTCACAGAGTTGAACACTTCTTTTGATTGAGCAGTTTTGAAACACTTTTTCTGTAGAATCTGCAAGTGGATATTTGGAGCGATTTGAGGCCTATTGTCGAAAAGGAAATTTCTTCACATAAAAACTACACAGAAGCATTATGAGGAACTTCTTTGTGATGTGAGCCTTCATCTCACAGAGTTGACATGTTCTTCTGATTGAGCAGTTTTGAAACACTCTATTTGTAGAATCTGCAAGTGGATATCTGGAGCGCTTTGAGGCCTATTATGACAAAGCAAATATCTTCACATAAAAACTACAAAGAAGCATTCTGAGAAACTATTTTGTGATGTGTGCATTCATTTCACAGAGGTGAAACTTTCGTTCGATTGAGCCGTTTTGAAGCACTCTTTTTGTAGAATCTGAAAGTCGATATTTGCAGCCCTTTAAGGCCTAGTGTGGAAAAGCAAATATCTTCACATAAAAACTACACAGAAGCATTCTGAGAAACATCTTTGTGATGTGTGCATTCATCTCACAGAGTTGAACATTTTTTTGATTGAGCAGTTTTGAATCTCTCTTTTTGCAGAATCTGCAGGTGGATATTTGGAGCCCTTTGAGGCCTACTGTGGAAAAGCAAATAACTTCACATAAAAACTACACAGAAGAACTCTGAGAAACTTCTTTGGGATGTGTGTATTCAACTCACACAGTTGAACCTATCTTTTGATTCAGCAGTTTGAATCTCTCTTTTTGCAGAATCTATAATTGGATATTTGGAGCCCTTTGGGACCTATGGTGGAAAAGGAAATATCTTCAAATAAAAACTACACAGAAATATTCTGAGAAACTTCGTTGTGATGTGTGCATTCATCTCACAGGGTTGAACCTATCTTATGAGTGAGCAGTTTAGAAACACTCTTTTTGTAGAATCTGCAAGTGGAAAATTGGAGCGCTTTGAGGCCGACCGTAGAAAAGCAAATATCTTCACATAAAAACTACACAGAAGCATTCAGAGAAACTTCTTTGTGATGTATGCATTCAACTCACAGAGCTGAACCTATATTTGATTGAGCTGTTTTGAATCACTCTTTTTGCAGAATCTACAGGTAAATATTTGGACCCTTGGAGGCTTACTGTAGAAAAGCAAATATCTTCACATAAAAACTATACAGAAACATTCTGAGAAACTACTTTGGGATACGTGCATTCAACTCACAGAGTTGAACCTATCTTTTGATTGAGCAGTTTTGAATCTCTCTTTTTGCCGAATCTGCAAGTGGATATTAGGAAGCCTTTGCAGCCTAAGGTGGAAAAGGAAGTATCCTCAAATAAAAACTACACAGAAGAATCCTGAGAAACTTCTTTGTGATGTGTGCATTCATCTCAGAGAGTTGAACTTTTCTTTTGATTCAGCAGTTTTGATACCCTTTTTGTAGAATCTGCAAGTGGATATATGGAGCTCATTGAGGCCTATTGTGGAAAAGGAAATATCTTCATATAAAAACTACACAGAAGCATTCTGAGTAACTTCTTTGTGATGTGTGCATTCATCTCACAGAATTGAACCTTTCTTTTGATTGAGCAGCTTTGAAACACTCTTTTTGTAGAATCTGCAAGTGGGTAATTGGAGCCCTTTGAGGCCTGTTGTGGAAAAAGAAATATCTTCACATAAAAACTACTCAGAAACATTCTAAGAAACTTCTTTGTGATGTGTACATTCAATTCAAAGAGATGAACCTATCTTTTGATGGACCAGGTTAGAATCTCTCTTTTTGTGGAATGTGAAAGCGGATATTTGGAGCCCTTTGTGCCCTATGGTAAAAAAGAAAATATCTTCAAATAAAAACTACACAGAAGCATTCTCTGATACTACTTCGTGATGTGTGCATTCAACTCACAGAGTTGAACCTGTCTTTTGATTGAGCAGTTTTGAATCTCTCTTTTTGTACAATCTGCAAGTGGATATTTGGAGCGCTGTGAGGTCTACTGTGGAAAATCAAATATGTTCACATGAAAACTACAAAAAACCATTCTGAGAAACTTCTTTGTGATGTGTGCATTCAACTCACAGAGTTGAACCTCTCTTTTAATTGAGCAGTTTTGAATATCTCTTTTTGCAGTATCTGCAAGTGGATAATTGGAGTGCTTTCAGGTCTAATGTGGAAAAGCAAATATCTTCACATAAAAACTACACAGAAGCATTCTGAGAAACTTCTCTGTGATGTGTGCATTCATCTCAGAGAGTTGAAACTTTCTTTTCATTGAGCAGTGTTGAAACACTCTTTTTGTAGGATCTGCAGGGGATATTTGGAGCCCCTAGAGACCTATTGTGAAAAAGGAAATACCTTCTCATAAAAACTACACAGAAACATTCAGAGAAACTTCTTTGTGATGGGTGCATTCATCTCACAGAGTTGAACATTTCATTTTATTGAGCAATTTTGAAACACTCTTTTTGTAGAATCTGCAAGTGGTTAATTGGAGCCCTTTGTGGTGTATTGTGGAAAAAGAAATATCTTCACATAAAAACTACTCAGAAGCATTCTGAGAAACTTCTTTGTGATGTGTGCATTCAACTCACAGAGTTGAACCTATCTTTTGATTATGCAGTTTAGAATCTCTCTCTTTGTAGAATCTGTAAGTGGCTATTTGGAGCCTTTTGGGCCCTATGGTGGTAAAGGACATATCTTCAAATAAAAACCGCACAGAAGTATTCTGACAAAGTTCTACGAGATGTGTGCATTAAACTCACAGAGATGAACCTATATTTTGATTGAGCAGTTTTGAATCTCTCTTTTTGTAGAATCTGCAACTGGATATTTGCAGCCCTGTGAGGCCTACTGTGGAAAATCAAATATGTTCACATAAAAACCAAACAGAAGCATTCTGAGAAAATTCTTTGTGATGTGTGCATTCAACTCCCAACGCTGAACTACCTTTTGACTGAGCAGTTTTGAATCTCTCTTTTTGCAGAATCTGCAAGTGGATATTTGGAGAGCTTTGAGGACTATTTTGGAAAAGGAAATAACTTCAAATAAAAACTACACAGAAGCATTCTGAGAAACTTCTTTGTGAGGTGTGCATTCAACTCACAGAGTTGAACCTATCTTCTCATTGAGAAGTTTAGAATCTCTCTTTTGTAGAATCTGCAAGTGGATATTTGGAGCACTTTGAGGCCTACCGTGGAAAAGCAAATATCTGCAGATAAAAACTACACAGAAGCATTATGAGAAACTTCTTTGTGATGTATGCATTCATCTCACAGAGTTGAACATTTCTTTTGATTGAGCAGTTTTGAATCTGTCTTTTTGCAGAATCGGCAGGTTTATATTTGGAGATTTTGAGGTCTACTGTGTGAAAGCAAGTATCTTCACTTAAAGACTACACAGAAGCATTCTGAGAAAATCCTTTGGGATGTGTGAATTCATCTCACAGAGTTGAACTTTTCTTTTGATTGAGCAGTTTTGAAACACTCTTTTGTAGAATCTGCTAGTGGATAATTGGAGCCCTTTGAGACCTATTGTGGAAAAGCAAATATCTTCACATAAAAACTACTCAGAAGCATTCTGAGAAACTTCTTTGTGATGTGTGCATTGAACTCACAGAGTTGAACCTACCCTTTGATTGAGCAGTTTGGAATCTCTCTTTGTAGAATTTGTAAGTGGATATTTGGAACCCTTTGCACCCTAAGGTGGAAAAGGAAATATCTTCAAACAAAAAATTCACAGAAGCATTCTCAGAAACTACTTCGTGATGTGTGCATTCAACTCACAGAGCTGAACCTATCTTTTGATTGAGCAGTTTTGAATCTCTCTTTTGCAGATTCTGCCAGTGGATATTTGGAGGGCTGTGAGGCCTATTGTTGAAAATCAAATATGTTTACATAAAAACTACACAGAAACATTCTGAGAAACTTCTTTGTGATTGGTGCATTTATCTCACAGTTGAACCCTTCTTTTGATTGAGCAGTTTTGAATCTCTCCTTTTGCAGAATCTGCAAGTGGATATTTGGAGAGCTTTGGGGCCTGTTGTAGAAAAGGAAATATCTTCACATAAAAACTACACAGAAGTATTCTTACAAACTTCTTTGTGAGGTGTGCATTAACTCACAGAGTTGAATATATCTTCTGATTGAGCAGTTTTGAATCTCTCTTTTTGTAGAATCTGCAAGTTGATATTTGGAGCCCTTTGTGCCCCATGGTGGAAAAGGAAATACCCTCAAATAAAAACTACACAGAGGCATTCAGAGAAACTTCTTTGTGAGGTATGCATTCACCTCACAGAGTTGAACGTATCTTTTGATTGAGCAGTTTGAATCTCTCTTTTTGCAGAATCGGCAGGTTTATATTTGAAGCCTTTGAGGCCTACTGTGTAAAAGCAAATATCTCACTTAAAGACTACACAGAAGCATTCTGAGAAAATCCTTTGGGATGTGTGAATTCTACTCACAGGGTTGAACCTATCTTTTGATTGAGCAGTTTTGAATCTCTCCTTTTGTAGAATCTGCAAGTGGATATTTGGAGCCCTTTGTGGCCTACTTTGGAAAAGGAAATATCTTCAAATAAAAACTACACAGAAACATTCTGAGAAACTACTTTGTGATGTGTGCATTCATCTCACAGGGTTGAGCCTATCTTATGATTCAGCGGTTTTGAAACAATCTTTTTGTAGAATCTGCATGTGGATATTTGGAGCACTTTGAGGCCTACCGTGGAATAGCAAATATCTTCAGATAAATAAAACAGAGAAGCATTCTGAGAAACTTCTTTGTGATGTGTGCATTCAACTCACATAGTTGAAACCTTCTTTTGATTGAGCAGTTTTGAAACACACTTATTGTAGAATCTGCAAGTGGATATTTGGAGACCTTCGAGGCCTACTGTGTAAAAGAAATATCTTCATATAAAAACTACACAGAAGCATTCTGAGAAACTTCTTTCTGATGTGTGCATTCAACTCACAGAGTTGAACCTGTCTTTTGATTGAGCAGTTTTGAATCTCTATTTTGTAGAATCTGCAAGTGGATAGTTGGAGCGCTGTGAGGTCTACTGTGGAAAATCAAATATGTTCACATAAAAACGGCACAGAAGCATTCTTAGAAACTTGTTTGTGATGTTTGCATTCATCTCACAGAGTTGAACCTTTCTTTTGATTGAGCAGTTTTGAAACACTCTTTTTGTAGAATCTTCAAGTGGATATTTGGAGCCCTTTGAGGCTTATTGTGGAAAGGGAAATATCTTCACATAAAAACTACACAGAAGCATTCTGAGAAACTTCTTGTGATGTGTGCATTCATCTCACAGGGTTGAATCTTGCTTTTGATTGAGCAGTTTTGAAACACTGTTTTTGCAGAAACTGCAAGTGGAAAATTGGCCTCCTTTGAGGCCTATTGTGGAAAAGGAAATATCTTCAAATAAAAAGTACTCAGAAGCATTCTGAGAAACTTCTTTGTGACGTGTGCATTCAACTCACAGAGGTGAAACTATCTTTTGAGCAGTTTAGAATCTCTCTTTTTGTAGAATCTGCAAGTGGATAGTTGGAGCCATTTGTGCCTTATGGAGGAAAAGGAAATATCTTTAAATAAAAACTACACAGGAAAATTCTCAGAAATTTCTTCGTGATGTGTGCATTCAACTCAAAGAGTTGAACTTATCTTACGATTGAGCATTTTTGAAACCCTCTTTTTGTATTATCTGCAAGTGGATATTTGGAACGCTTTGAGGCCTACCATGGAAAAGCAAATATCTTTAGATAAAAACTACAGAGAAGCATTCTGAGAAACTTCTTTGTGATATGTGCTTTCATCTCACAGTGTTAAACTTTTCTTTTGATTCAGCAGTTTTGAAAGACTCTTTTTGTAGAATCTGCAAGTGGATAATTGGAGCCCTTTGAGGCCTCTTGTGGAAAAGGAAATATCTTCACATAAAAACTGCACAGAAGGATTCTGAGAAACTTCTTTGTGATCTGTGCATTCATCCCACAGATTTGAAGCTTCCTTTTCATTGAGCAGTTTGGAAAAACTCTTTTTGTACAATCTGCCAGTAGACATTTGGAGCCCCTTGACACCTATTGTGGAAAAGAAAATATCTTCACATAAAACCTACACGGAAGCATTCTGAGAAACTTCTTTGTGATGAGTGATTTCAATTCACAGGGTTGAACCTCTCTTCTCATTGAGCAGTTTTGAATCTTTTTGCAGAATCTGCAAGTGGATATTTGGAGCCCTTTGTGGCCTATGGTAGAAAAGGAAATATCTTCAAGTAAAAACTACACAGAAACATTCTCAGAAACTTCTTTGTGATGTGTGCTTTCATCTCAAAGGTTTGAGGCTATCTTATGATTGAGTAGTTATGAAACACTCTTTTTGTAGAATCCACAAGTGGATATTTTGATCACTTTGAGGCCTACTGTGGAAAAGGAGTTACCTTCAGTTAAAAACGGCACAGAAGCATTCTCAGAAACTTCTTTGTGATGTGTGCATTTATCTCACAGAGTTGAACATTTCTTTTGATTGAACAGTTTTGAAACACTTTTTGTAGAATTTTCAAGTGAATATATGCAGCCCTTTGACGCCTATTCTGGAAAAGGAAATATCTTCACATAAAAACTACCCAGAAGCACTCTGAGAAACTTCTTTGTGAGGTGTGCATTGAACTCACAGAGCTGACACTTTCTTTTGATTGAGCAGTTTTGAAACACACCTTTTGTAGAATCTGCAAGTGGATATTTGGAACCCTTTGCACCCTATGGTGGAAAAAGAAATGTCTTCAAATAAAAACTACACAGAAGCATTTAGAGAAACTTCTTTGTGATGTACGCTTTCAACTCACAGAGTTGAACCTATCTTTTGATTGAGCAGTTATGAATCTCTCTTTCTGCAGAATCTGCAGGATGATATTTGGAGCCCTTTAAGGCCTTCCGTGGAAAAGCAAATATCTTCACTAAAAAACTACACAGAAGCATTCTGGGAAAATTCTTTGGAATGTGTGAATTCAACTCACAGGTTTGAACCTTTCTTCTGATTGAGCAGTTTTGAATCTTTTTGCAGAATCTGCAAGTGGATATTTGAAGCCCTTTGCGGCCGATCGTAGAAAAGGAAATATCTTCAAATAAAAACTTCACAGAAACATTCTGAGAAACTTTTTTGTGATGTATACATTCATCTCACAGGGTTGAGCCTATCTTATGATTGAGCAGTTTTGAAACACTCTTTTTGTAGAGTCTGCAAGTGGATACTTGGAGCGCTTTGAGGCCTACCGTGGTAAAGCAAATATCTTCACATAAAAACTACACAGAAGCATTCTGAGCAACTTCTTAGTGATGTGTGCATTGTACTCACAGTGTTGAGATTGAGCAGTTTCGAATCCATCTTTTTGTAGGATCTGCAACGTGGATATTTGGAGCCCTTGCACCGTATGGAGGAAAAGGAAATATCTTCATATAAAAACTACACAGAAGCATTCTCAGAAACTTCATCGTAATGTGTGTATTCAACTCACAGAATTGAACCTAACTTTTGATTGAACAGTTTTGAATCTCTCTTTTTGTAAAATCTGCAAGTGGATATTTGGACCACTGTGAGACCTAATGTGGAAAATCAAATAAGTTCACATAAAACTACAAAGAAACATTCTGAGAAACTACGTTGTGATTTGTGCATGCAACTCACAGAGGTGAACCTACCTTTCGATTGAGCAGTTTTGAATCTCTCCCTTTGCAGAATATGCAGGTGGAGGTTTGGAGATCTTTGAGGCCAATTGTGGAGAAGAAAATATCTTCACATAAAAAGTACACAGAAGCGTTCTGAGAAACTTCTTTGTGAGGTGTGCATTCAACTCACAGAGTTGAACTTATCTTCTCATTGAGCAGCTTTGAATCCCTCTGTAGAATCTGCAAGTGGATATTTGAAGCCCTTTGGCCCCATGGTGGAAAAAGAAATATCTTCAAATAAAAACTACACAGAAGCAATCGGAGGAGCTTCTTTGTGATGTATGCATTCAACTCACAGAGTTGAAGCTATCTTTTGATTAAGCAGTTTTCAATCTCTCTTTTTGCAGAATCTGCAAGTTTATATTTTCAGCCCTTTGAGGCCTACTGTGGAAAAGAAAATATCTTCACTTAAAAACTACACAGAGGCATTCTGAGAAAATACTTTGTGATTTGTGCATTCATCTCACAGAGTTGAAACTTTCTTTTGATTGAGCAGTTTTGAAACACTCTTTTTGTAGAATCTGCAAGTGGATATTTGGAGCCCTTTGAGGTCTATTGTGGATAAGGAAATATCTTCACATAAAAACTTCACATAAGCATTCTGATAAACTTCTTTGTGATGTGTGCATTCATCTCTCAGAGTTGAACTTTCTTTTGATTGAGCAGTTTTGAAACACACTTGTTGTAGAATCTGCAAGTGGTCATTTGAAGCCCTTTGAGGTCTATTGTGGAAAAGAAATATCTTCACATAAAAACTACATAGAAGCATTCTCAGAAACTTCTTTGTGATCTGTGCGTTCATCTCACAGAGTTGAATCTTTCTTTTGATACAGCAGTTTTGAAACACTCTTTTTGTAGAATCTGCAAGTGGATATTTGGAGCTCATTGGGGCTTACTGTGGAAAAACAAATATCTTCACATAGAAACTACACAGAAGCATTCTGAGAAACTTCTTTGTGATGTGTACATTCATCTCACAGATTTGAAACTTTCTTTTCGTTGAGCAGTTTTAAAACTCTCTTTTTGTAGAATCTGGAAGTGGATAATAGGAGCCCATAGAGGCCTATTGTGGAAAAGAAAATATCTTCACTTAAAAGCTACTCAGAAGCATTCTGAGAAGCTTCTTTGTGATGTGTGCATTCAACTCACAGAGTTGAAATTATCTTTTGATTGAGAAGGTTTGAATTTCTCTCTTTGTAGAATCTGCAAGTGGATATTTGGAGCCCTTTGCACACTATGGTGGAAAAGGAAATATCTTCAAATAAAAACTACACAGAAGCATTCTCAGAAACTTCTTCATGATGTGTGCATTCAACTGACAGAGTTGAACCTATCTTTTGATTGAGCAGTTTTGAGTCTCTCTTTTGTAGAATCTGAAAGTGGATATTTGGAGCGCTGTGAGGCCTACTGTGGAAAATAAAATATCTTCACATAAAAACTACACAGAAGAATTCTGAGAAATTTCTTTGTGATGTGTGCATTCATATCACAGAGTTGAACTTTTCTTTTGATTGAGCAGTTTTGAAACACTCTTTGAAGAATCTGCAATTGGATAATTGGAGCCCTTTGAGGCCTACTGTGGAAAAGAATATATCTTCACATAAAAACTACTCAGAAGCATTCTGAGAAACTTACTTATTTGTGATGTGTGCATTCAACTCACATAGTTGAACCTATCTTTTGATTGAGTAGTTTTGAATCTCTCTTTTTGCAGAATCTGCAAGTGGATGTTTGGAGAGCTTTCAGGCCTATTGTGGAAAAGGAAATATTTTCACATAAAAACTACACAGAACCATTCTGAGAAACTTCTTTGTGTCGTGTGCATTCAACTCACAGAGTTGAACTTATGTCCTCTTTGAGCAGTTTTGAGTCTCTCTTTTTGTAGAATGTGCAAGTGGATATTTGGAGCCCATTGTGTCCTATGGTAGAAAAGGAAATATCTTCAGATAAAAACTACACAGAAGCATTCTGAGAAACTTCTTTGTGATATGTGCATTTATCTTACAGGTTTGAACCTACCATATTATTGAGCAGTTTTGAAACACTCTTTTTGTAGAATCTGTAAATGGATATTTGGAGGGAATTGAGATCTACCATGGAAAAGCATATATCTGCAGACAAAAACTAAACAGAAGCATTCTGAGAAACTTCTTTGTGATGTGTGCATTCATCTCACAGAGTTGAAACTTTCCTTTGATTGAGTAGTTTTGAAAGACTCTTTTTGTAGAATCTGTAACTGGATATTTGGAGCCCTTTGAGGAATATTGTGGAAAAGGAAATATCTTCACATAAAAACTACACAGAAGCATTCTGAGAAACTTCTTTATGAGGAGTGCATTCAACCCACAGAGTTGAACTTTTCTTCTCATTGAGCAGTTTTGAATCTCTCTATTTGTAGAATCTGCAAGTGGATATTTGCTGCCCTTTGAGGCCTACTGAGGAAAAGCAAATATCTTCATATAAAAACTACACAGAAGCATTCTGAGAAACTTCTTTGGGATGTGTACATTCAACTCCCAGAGTTGAACCTATCTTTTGATTGAGCAGTTTTGAATCTCTCTTTTGGCAGAAACTGCAAGTAGATATTTGGAGCCATTTGTGGCCTTTGGTGGAAAAAGAAATATCTTCAAATAAAAACTAAACAGAAACATACTGAGAAACTTCTTTGTGATGTGTGCATTCATCTCACAGGGTTGAACCTATCTTATGATTGAGCGGTTTTGAAACACTCCTTTTGTAGAATCAGGAAGTGTATATTTGGAGCGCTTTGAGGCCCACCGTGGAAAAGCAAATATCTTCAGATAAAAACTACACAGAAGCATTCTGAGAAACTTCTTTGTGATGTGTGCATTCATCTCACAAAGGTGAACCTTACTTTTGATTCAGCAGTTTTGAAAGACTCTTTTTGTAGAATCTGCAAGTGGATATTTGGAGCCCTTTGATGGCTATTGTGGAAAAGTAAATATCTTCACATAAAAACTACTCAGAAGCATTCTGATAAACTTCTTTGTGATGTATGCATGCAACTCACAGAATTGAACCTATCTTATGATTGAGCAGTTTTGAATCTCTCTTTTTGCAGAATCTGTAACTGAATGTTTTGAGCGCCTTAAGGCCTACTGTGGAAAAGCAAATATCTTCAGATAAAAGCTACACAGAAGCATTCAGAGAAACTTCTTTGCGATGTTTGCATTCATCTCACAGAGTTAAAACTTTCTCTTGATTGAGCAGTTTTGAAACACTCTTTTTGTAGAATCTGCAAGTGGATATTTGGAGCCCTTTGAGGCCTATTGTGGAAAAGGAAATATCTTCCCATGAAAACTACATAGAAGCATTCTGGGAAACTTCTTTGGGATGTGTGCATTCAACTCACAGAGTTGAACCTATCTTTTGATTGAGCAGTTTGGAATCTCTCTTTTTGAAGAATCTGCAAGTGTGTGTTTTCAAAGCTTTGTGGCCTATTGTGGAAAAGGAAATATCTTCACATAAAAACTACACATAAACATTCTGAGAAAGTTCTTTGCGGTGTGTGCATTCATCTCACGGAGTTGAAACTTTCTTTTGATTGAGCAGTTTTGAAACACTCTTTTTGTACAATCTGCAAGCTGATAATTGGAGCCCTTTGAGGACTATTGTGGAAAAGGAAATATCTTCAAATAAAAACTACTCAGAAGCATTCTGATAAACTTCTTTCTGATGTGTGCATTCAACTCACAGAGTTGAACCTATATTTTGATTGAGCAGTTTAGAAGCTCTCTTTTTGCAGAATCTGCAAGTGGATGTTTGGAAAGCTTGGAAACCTATTATGGAAAAGGAAACATCTTCACATAAAAACTACACAGAAGCATTCTGAGAAACTTCTCTGTGAGGTGTGCATTCAACCCACAGAGTTTAACTTATTTTCTCATTGAGCAATTTTGAATCTCTCTTTTTGTAAAATCTGCAGGTGGATATTTGGAGCCCTTTGCACCCCATGGTGGAAAAGGAAATATCTTCAAATAAAAACTACATGGAAGCATTCATAGAAACTTCTTTGTGATGTATGCATTCAACTCACAGAGTTGAAACTATCTTATTATTGAGCAGTTTTGAATCTCTCTTTTTGCAGAATCTGCAACTGGATATTTGGAGCGCTTTGAGGCCTAACGTGGAAAAGCAAATATCTTCCGATAAAAGCTACACAGAAGCATTCTGAGAAACTTCTTTGCGATGTGTGCATTCAACTCACAGAGTTGAAACTTTCTTTTGATTGAGCAGATTTGAAATACTCTTTTTGTAGAAACTGTAAGTTGATATTTGGAGCCCTTTGAGTCCTATTGTGGAAAAGGAAATATCTTCACATAAAAACTACACGGAATCATTCTGAGATACTTCTTTGTGATGCTTGCATTCATCTAACAATGTTGAAACTTTCTTTTCATTGAGCAGTTTTGAAACACTCTTTTTGTAGAATCTGCAAGTGGAATAATTGGATCCCTTTGCGCCCTGTGGTGGAGAAGGAAATATCTTCAAATAAGAACTACACAGAAACATTCTCAGAAACTTATTTGTGATGTGAGCATTCAACTCACAGACCTGAACATATCTTTTGATTTAGCACTTTTGAATTTCTCTTTTTGTAGAATTTGCAAGTGGATATTTGGAGCGCTGTGAGACCTACTGTGGGAAATGAAATATGTTCACATAAAAACTACTCAGAAGCATTCTGAGAAACTACTTTGTGATGTATGCATTCAACTCACAGAGTTGAACCTACCTTTTGATGAAGCAGTTTTGAGTCTCTCTTTTTGCATAATCTGCGAGTGGATGTTTGGAGAACTTTGAGGCCTATTATGTAAAAGGAAATATTTTCACATAAATACTATACAGAAGCATTCTGAGAAACTTCTTTGTGACGTGTGCATTCATCTCACAGAGTTGAACCTTTCTTTTGATTGAGCAGTTTTGAAACACTCTTTTTGTAGAATCTGTAAGTGGATATTTGGAGCCCTTTGAGGCCTATTGTGGATAAAGAAATATCTTCACATAAAAACTACACAGAAGCATTCTGAGAAACTTCCTTGGGATGTGTCCATTCATCTCACCGAGTTGAAACTTTCTTTTGATTGAGCAGTTTTGAAACACTCTTTTGTAGAATCTGTGAGTGGATATTTGGAGACATTTGAGGCCTGTTGTGGAAAGGAAAGATCTTCACATAAAACCTACACAGAAGCATTCTGAGAAACTTCTTTGTGAGGTGTGCATTAAACTCACAGAGTTGAACTTATCTTCTCATTGAGCAGTTTTGAATCTTTCTTTTTGTAGAA
The DNA here is from genome assembly GCF_000001405.40 of Homo sapiens. NCBI lineage: Eukaryota > Metazoa > Chordata > Mammalia > Primates > Hominidae > Homo > Homo sapiens. The sequence continues at coordinate 29,849,903 of NC_000020.11, forward strand.
TCTTCAAGTGGATATTTGGAGCCCTTTGCGCCCTATGGTGGAAATGGAAATATCTTCAAATAAAAACTACACAGAAGCATTCAGAGGAACTTCTTTGTGATGTATGCATTCAGCTCACAGAGTTGAACCTATCTTTTGATTGAGCAGTTTAGAATCTCTTTTTTTGCAGAATCTGCAGGTGAATATTTGGAGCCCTTTGAGGCCTACAGTGGAAAACCAAATATCTTCACATAAAAACTACACAGAAGCATTGTGTGAAACTCCTTTGGGATGTGTGCATTCAACTCACAGAGTTGAACATATCTTTTGATTCAGCAGTTTTGAATATCTCTTGTTGCAGAATCTGCACGTGGAAATTTGGAGGCCTTTGTGGCCTATGTTGGAAAAGGAAATATCTTCAAATAAAAACTCCACACAAACATTCTGAGAAACTTCTTCATGATGTGTGCATTCATCTCACAAGGTTGAACCTATCTTATGATTGAGCAGTTTTGAAACACTCTTTTTGTTGAATCTGCAAGTGGATCTTTGCAGCGCTTTGAGGCCTACCATGGAAAAGCAAATATCTTCAGATAAAAACTACACAGAAGCATTCTGAGAAACTACTTGGTGATGTGTGCATTCATCTCACAGAGTTGAACCTTTCTTTTGATTGAGCAGTTTTGAAACCCTCTTTTTGTAGAATCTGCCAGTGGATATTTGGAGCCTTTTGAGGCCTACTGTGGATAAGGAAATATCTTCATATAAAAACTACACAGAAGCATTCTGAGAAACTTCTTTGTGATGCGTGCATTCATCTCACAGAGTTGAAATTTTTTTTGCGTTGAGCAATTTTGAAACACTCTTTTTGTAGAATCTGCAAGTGGATAATTGGAAACCTTTGAGAGCTAACGTGGAAAAGGAAATATCTTCACAAAGAAACCACTCAGAAGCATTCTGTGAAAGTACTTTGTGATGTGTGCATTCAACTCTCAGATTTGAACCTATCTTTTCATTGAGCACTTTAGAATCTCTCTTTTTGTAGAATCTGCAAGTGGATAACTGGAGTCCTTTCTGCCCTTTGGTGGAGAAAGGAATATCTTCAAATAAAAACTGTATAGAAGCATTCTCAGTAACTTCTTCGTAATGTGAGCATTGAACTCACAGAGTTCAACCTTTCTTTTTATTGAGATGGTTTGAGTCTCTCTTTTTGAAGAATCGGCAAGTGGATATTTGAATCGCAGTGAGGCCTACTTTGGAAAATCAAATATGTTCACATAAAAACTACACAGAATCATTCTGAGAAACTTCTTTGTGATGTGTGCATTCATCTCACAGGGTTGAACCTATCTTATGATTGAGCAGTTTTGAATCACTCTTTATGTAGAATCTGCAAGTGGATATTTGGAGCGTTTTGAGACCTACCGTGGAAAAGCAATTATCTTCAGATAAAAACTACACAGAAGCATTCTGAGAAACTGCTTTATGATGTGTGCATTCATCTCACAGAGTTGAACCTTTCTTTTGATTGAGCAGCTTTGAAACACTCTTTTTGTAGAATCTGCAAGTGGATATTTCGTGTGCTTTGAGTCCTACCATGGAAAAGGAAATATCTTCACATAAAAAATACTCAGAGGAATTCTGAGAAACTTCTTTGTGATGTGTGCATTCAACTCACAGAATTGAACCTATCTTTAGATTGAGCAGTTTAGAATCTCTCTTTTTGCAGTATCTGCAAGTGGATATTTGGAGCCCTTTGCAGCCTGTGGTGGAAAAGAAAATATCTTCACACAAAAACTACTCGGAAGCATTCTTAGAAACTTCTTTTTGATGTGTGCATTCAAATCACAGAGTTGAACCTATATTTTCATTAAGCAGTTTAAAATCTCTCCTTTGCAGAATCTGCAAGTGGATATTTGAAGCCCCTTGTGGCCTATGGTGGATAAGGAAATATCTTCAAATAAAAACTACACAGAAACATTCTGAGAAACTTCTTTGTGATGTATACATTTATCTCACAGGGTTGAAACTATCTTATGACAGAGCAGTTTTGACACACTCTTTTTGTAGAATCTGCAAGTGGATATTTGCAGCCCTTTGAGGTCTTTTGTGGAAAAGGAAATATTTTCTCATAAAAATTACAGAGAAGCATTCTGGGAAACTTCTTTGTGATGTGTGCATTCATCTCACAGAGTTGAACCTTTTTTTTCATTGAGCTGTTTTGAAAACTCTTTTTGTAGAATCTGCAAGTAGATATTTGGAGCAATTTGAGGCGTATTGTGGAAAAGGAAATATCTTCACATAAAAACTATACTGAAGCATTCTGAGAAACTTCTTTGGGATGTGTGCATTCATCTCACAGAGTTGAATCTTTCTTTTGATGGAGCAGTTTTGAAACAATCTTTTTGTAGAATCTTAAAGCGGATATTTGGAGCAATTTGAGGCCTATTGTGGAAAAGGAAATATCTTCTCACAAAAACTACACAGAAGTATTCTGAGAAACTTCTTTGTATTGTGTGCATTCAACTCACAGGGTTGCACCTATCTATTTATTGAGCAGTTAGAATCTCTCTTTTTGTAGAATCTGCAAGTGTATATTTGGAGCCCTTTGGGCCCTATTGTGGAAAAGGAAATATCTTCAAATAAAACTACGCAGAAGCATTCAGAGAAACTTCTTTGGGATGAGTGCATTTATCACACAGAGTTGAACCTTTCTTTGGATAGAGCAGTTTTGAAACACTCTTTTCGTAGGATCTGGAAGTGGATAATTGGAGGGCTTTGAGGCCTGTTTTGTAGAAGGAGATATCTTCACATAAAAACAACAAAGAAGCATTCTGAGAAACTTCTCTGTGAGGTGTGCCTTCAACTTACAGTGTTGAACGCATCTTTTTATTGAGCAGTTTTGAATCTCTCTATTTGCAGAATCTGCAAGTGGATATTTGGAGCCCTTTGGGGGCTACTGTGGAAAAGCAAATATCTTCACATATAAACTGCACAGAAGTATTCTGAGAAACTTCTTTGTGATTTGTGCATTCAACTCACAGAGTTGAACCTACCTTTTGATTAAGCAGTTTTGAATCTCTCTTTTTACAGTATCTGCACTTGGAAACTTGGAGCCATTTGTGGCCTATGGTCGAAAAGGAAATATCTTCAAATAAAAACTACACAGAAGCATTCAGAGAAACTTCTTTGTGATATGTGCATTCATTTTCACAGGGTTGAACCTTTATTATGATTTAGCAGTTGTGAAACACTCTTTTTTTAGAATCTGCAAGTGGATATTTGGAGCCCTTTGAGGCCTGCTGTGGAAAAGCGAATATCTTCAGATAAAAGGTACACAGAAGCATTCTGAGAAACATCTTTGCGATGTATGCATTCATTCACACAGAGTTGAACCTTTCTATTGTTGAACAATTTTGAAACACTTTTTTGTAGAATCTGGAAGTGGATAGTTGGAGGGCTTTGAGGTCTATTTTTGAAAACGAAATATCTCCACATAAATACTACACAGAAATATTCTGAGAAACTTCTTTGTTATGTGTGCATTCAACTCTCATAGTTGAACTTATCTTTTGATTGAGCAGTTTTGAATCTCTCTTTTTGCAGAATCTGCAAGTGGATATTCGGAGCCCTTTGAGGCCTGCTGTGGAAAAGCAAATATCGTCACATAAAAACTACACAGACGCATTCTGGGAAACTTCTTTTTGATGTGTGAATTCAACTCACAGAGTTGAAGCTATCTTTTGATTGAGCAGTTTATCATCTCTCTTTTTTCAGAATCTGCAAGTGAATATTTGGAATGATTTGAGGCCTCATGTGGAAAAGGAAATGTCTTCACCTAAAAACTACACAGTAGCATAAGGAGAAACGTCTTTGTGATGTGTTTTTTCCAACTCACAGAGTTGAACCTATCTTTTGATTGAGCAGTCTAAAATCTCTCTTTTTGTAGAAACTGCAAGTGGGTATTTCAAGCCCTTTGTGCCCTGTGGTGGAAAAAGATATATCTTCAAATAAAAACTACACAGAAGCATTCAGAGAAACTTCTTTGTGATGAGTGCATTCATCTCACAGAGTTGAAACTTTCTTTCGATGGAGCAGTTTTGAAACACTCTTTTCGTAGAATCTGGAAGTGGATATTTGGAGGGCTTTGAGGCCTATTTTGGAGAAGGAGATATCTTCACATAAAAACTACACAGAATCATTCTGAGAAACTTCTTTGTGTCTTGTGGATTCAGCTCACGGAGTTGAATCTATCTTTTGATTGAGCAGCTTTGAATCTCCCTTTTTGCAGAATCTGCAAGTCGATATTTGGAGCGCTTTGAGGCCTACTGTGGAAAATCAAATATCTTCACATAAAAGCTACACAGAAGCATTCTGAGAAACTGCTTAGTGATGTGTGCATTCATCTCACAGTGTTGAAACTTTGTTTTTATTGAGCAGTTTTGAAACATATTTTTTGTAGTATCTGCAAGTGGACATTTTGAGCCATTTGAGGCGTATTGTGGAAAAGGAAATATCTTCCCATTAAAAACTACACAGAAGCATTCTGAGAAACTTCTTTGTGATGTGTGCATTCAACTCACAGAGTTGAACCTATCTTTTGATTGAACCGTTTAGAATCTCTTTTTGTAGAATGTGCAAGTGGATATTTGGAGTCCTTTGCGTCCTATGGTGGAAAAGGATATATCTTGAAATAAAAACTACACAGAAGCTTTCAGAGAAACTTCTTTGTGATGACTACATTCGTCACACAGAGTTGAACCTTTCTTTGGATTGTGCAGTTTTGAATCTCTCTTTTTGTAGAATCTGCAAGTGGATATTTGGAGCGTTTTGAGGCCTACTGTGGAACATAAAATATCTTCACATAAAAACTACACAGAAGCATTCTGAGAAACTTCTTTGTGATTTGTGCATTCATCTCACAGAGTTGAATTTTTCTTTTGATTGAGCAGTTTTGAAACACTCTTTTTGTAGAATCTGCAAGTGGATATGTGGAGCCATTTGGGGCCTATTGTGGACAAGGAAATATCTTCACATAAAAACTACACAAAAGGACCCTGAGAAACTTCTTTGTGAGGTGCGCATTCAACTCCCAGAGTTGAAAGTTTCTTTGGTTTGAGCAGTTTTGAAACACTCTTTTGGTAGAATCTGGAAGTGGATATTTGGTGGGCTCTGAGGCCTATTTTAGAGAAGGAGATATTTTCACATAAAAGCTACAGAGAGGCATTCTGAGAAACTTCTTTGTGATGTGTGCATTTAATTCACAGAGTTGAAACTATCTTTTGATTGAGCAGTTTTTAATCTCTCTTTTTGCAGAATCTGCAAGTGGATATTTGGAACCCTTTGAGGCCTGCTGTGGAAAAGCAAATATCTTCACATAAAAACTACACAGAAGTATTTTCAGAAACTCCTTTGGGATGTGTGCATTCATCTCACAGAGTTGAACCTATCTTTTGATTGAGCATTTTTTAATCTCTCTTCTTGTAGAATCTGCAAGTGGATATTTGGAGCCCTTTGCGACCTATGGTGGAAAAGGAAATATCTTCAAATAAAAACTACACAGAAGCATTCTGAAAAACTTCTTTGTGATGAGTGAATTCATCTCAAGGGGTTGAACCATCTTATGATTGAGCAGTTTTGAAACACTCTTTTTGAAGAATCTGCAAGTGTATATTTGGTGGGCTTTGAGGAATACCGTGGAAAACCAAATATCTTCAGATAAATCTGCACAGAAGCATTCTGAGCTACTTCTCTGTGATGTGTGCATTCATCTCACAGAGTTGAAACTTTGTTTTGTTTGAGGAGTTTTGAAACACTGTTTTAGTAGAATCTGCAAGTGGATATTTGGAGGGCTTTGAAGCCCACTGTGGAAAAGCAAATATCTTCAGATAAAAGCTACCCAGAAACATTCTGCGAAACTTCTTTGTGATGTGTGCATTCAACTCACAGAGTTGAATGTCTCTGTTGATTGAGCAGTTTTGAATCTCTATTTTTGTAGAATCTGCATGTGGATATTTGGAGCCCTATGTGGCCTATGGTGGAAAAGGAAATATCTTCAAATAAAAACTACACAGAAGCATTCTGAGAAACTGCTTTGTGATGTGTGCATTCATCTCACAGGGTTGAACATATCTTATGATTGAGCAGTTTTGAAACTCTCTTTTTGTAGAATGTGCATGTGGATATTTGGAGTGCTTTGAGGCCTACCGTGGAAAAGCATATATCTTAATATAAAAACTACTCAGAAGCATTCTGAGAAACTTCTTTGTGATGTGGGCATTCATCTCACAGGGCTGAACCTTTCTTTTGATTGAGCAGTTTTGAAACACTCTTTCTGTAAATTCTGCAAGTGGATATTTGGAGCTTCTGATGCTTATTGTGGAAAAGGAGATATCTTCACATAAAAATTACACATAAGCATCCTCAGAAACTTTTTTGTGATGCATGCATTCATCTCACAGAGTTGAAAATTTCTTTTCATTTAGCAGCTTTGAAACACTCTTTTTGTAGAATCTGCAAGTGGATATTTGGAGTGCTTTGAGGCCTAGTGTGGAAAAGCAAATATCTGCACATAAAAACTACACAAAAGCATTCTGAGAAACTACTTTGTGATGTGTGCGTTCACCTCACAGACTTGAACCTTTCTTCTGATTGTGCAGTTTTGAAACACTCTTTTTGTAGAATCTGCAAGTGGATATTTGGAGCGATTTGAGGCCTATTGTGGAAAAGGAAATATCTTCACATAAAAACAACACAGAAGCATTCCTAGAAACTTCTTTGTGATGTGTGTCTTCAACTCACAGAGATGAACCTATCTTTTGATTGAGCAGTTTTTCAACTCTCTATTTGTAGGAACTGCAAGTGGATATTTGGAGCCCTTTGCGCTCTACTGTGTAAAAGGAAATATCTGCAAATGAAAACTACACTGAAGCATTCAGAGAAACTTCTTTGTGATGAGTATATTCATAACACAGATTGAAACCTACCTTTGATTAAGCAGTTTTGAAAGACTCTTTTTGTAGAATCTGCAAGTGGATATTTGGAGAGCTTTGAGGCCCATTGTGGAAAAGAAAATATCTTCACATAAAAACTGCACAGAAACATTCTGGGAAACTTCTTTGTGATGTGTGCATTCAACTCACAGAGTTGAATCTTTCTTTTGATTGGACAGATTTGAATCTCTCTTTTTGTAGAATCCACACGTGGATATTTGGAGCCCTTTGCAGCCTTTGGTGGAAAAGGAACTGTCTTGAAATAAAAGCTACACCGAAGCATTCTGAGAAACTTCTTTTGATGTGTTCATTCATCTCGCACAGTTAAGCCTATCTTATGATTGAGCGGTTTTGAAACACTCTTTTTGTAGAATCTGCAAGTGGATATTTGGAGCGACTTGAGGCCTATTGTGGAAAAGGAAATATCTTCACATAAAAACTACACAGAAGCATTCTGAGAAACTTCTTTGTGATGTGTACATTCATCTCATAGGGTTGAAACTATCTTTTGATTGAGCAGTTTAGAAACTCTTTTTTCAGAATCTGCAAGTGGTTATTTGGAGAGCTTTGAGGCCTATTGTGGAAAAGGAAATAAATGCACATAAAAACTACGCAGAAGCATTCTGAGAAACTTCTTTGTGATGTGTGAATTCCACTCAGAGAGTTGAACCTATCTTTTGATTGAGCTCTTTTGAATGTCTCTTTTTGTAGAATCTGCAAGTGGATGTTTGGAGCCCTTTGCGGTCTATGGTCGAAAAGGAAATGTTTTCTAATAAAAACTACACAGAAGCATTCTGAGAAATTTCTATGTGATGTGTGCATTCATCTCACAGGGTTGAACCTATCTTATGATTGAGCAGTTTTGAAACACTCTTTTTGTAGTATCTCCAAGTGGATATTTGGAGCGCTTTGGGGGCTATGGTGGAAAAGGAAATATCTTCACATAAAACCCACACAGAAGCATCTGAGAAACTTCTTTGTTATGTGTGCATTCAACTCAGAGAGTTGAACCTGTCTTTTGATTGAGCAGTTTTTGAACATCTCTTTTTGCAAAATCTGCAGCTGGATATTTGGAGCGCTTTGAGGCCTACTCTGGAAAAGCAAATATCTTCACATAAAAACAACACAGAAGCATTCTTAGAAACTTCTTTGTGAGATGTGCATTCAACTCACAGAGTCGAACCTATGTTTTGATTGAGCATTTTCAATCTCTCTTTTTTAGAATCTGCAAGTGGATATTTGGAGCACTTTTAGGCCTATTGTGGAAAAGGAAATATCTTCACAGAAAAAACTACATAGAACCATTCCGAGAAACTTCTTTGTGATGTGTGCCGTCAACTCGCAGAGTTGAACCTATCTTTTGATTGAGCAGTTTTTAAACTCTCTTTTTGTAGAATCTGCAAGTGGATATTTGGAGCCTTTGTGCTCTATGGTGTAAAAGGAAATATCTTCAAATAAAAACTACACAGAAGCATTCAGAGAAACTTCTTTGTGATGAGTGCATTTATCACAGAGAGTTGAAAACCTCCTTTGACTGAGCAGTTTTGAAACACCCGTTTTGCAGAATCTGCAATTGGATATTGGGAGAGATTTGAGGCCCATTGTGGAAAAGGAAATATCTTCACATGAAAACTACACAAAACCATTCTGGGAAACTTCTTTGTTATGTGTGCATTCAACTCACAGATTTAAGCTTATCTTTTGATTGAGCAGTTACGTATCTCTCTTTTGGAGAATCTGCAAGTGGATATTTGGAGTGCTTTGAAGCCTACTGTGGAAAAGCAAATATCTTCAAATAAAAAATACACAGAAGCATTCTGAGGAACTTGTTTGTGAGGTAGGCATTCAAATCGCAGAGTAGAAGCTATTTTTTGATTGAGCAGTTTCGAATCTCTCTTTTTGCAGACTCTACAAGTGGATATTCATAGAGCTTTGAGACGAATTGTGGAAAAGGAAATATCTTCACATAAAAACTACACAGAAGCATTCTGGGAAACTTCTTCGTGATGTGTGCATTCAACTCACAGAGTTGAATCTATCTTTTGATTGGGCAGATTTGAATCTCTCTTTTTGTATAATCTGCAAGTGAATATTTGGAGCCCTTTGTGGCCTATGGTGGAAAAAGGAAATATCTTCAAATAAAAACTACAGAGAAGCATTCTGTGAAACTTCTTTGTGATGTATGCATTCATCTCGCCGGGTTATACATATCTTATGATTGAGCAGTTTTGAAACACTCTTTTTGTAGAATCTGCAAGTGGATATTTGGAGCGCCTTGAGGCCTATTGTGGAAAAGGAAATATCTTCACATAAAAACTGCACAGAAGCATTCTGAGAAACTTCTTTGTGATGTGTGCATTCATCTCACAGAGTTGAAACTTTCTTTTGATTGAGCAGTTTTGAAACCGTCTTTTTGTAGAATCTGCAAGTGGATATTTGGAGCGATTTGAGGCCTACTGTGGAAATGGAAGTATCTTCATATAAAAACTACACAGAAGCATTGTGAGAAACTCCTTCATGGTTTGTGCATTCAACTTACAGAATGGAACCTATCTAATGATTGAGCAGTTTTGAATCTCTCTTTTTGCAGAATATGTAACTGGATATTTCGAGAGCTTTAAAACCTATTGAGGAAAAGGAAATATCTTCACATAAAAACTACACAGAAGCATTCTGAGAGACTTCTTTGTGATGTGTGCATTGAACTCACAGTGTTGAACCTATCTTGTCATTGAGCAGTTTTGAATCTCTCTTTTTGTAGAATCTGCAAGTGGATATATGGAGCCCTTTGTGGCCTATGGTGGAAAAGGAAATATCTTCAAATAAAAACTACACAGAAGCATTCTGAGAAACTTCTTTGTTATAAGTGCATTCATCTCACAGGGTTGAACCTATATTATGATTGAGCAGTTTTGGAACACTCTTTTTGTAGAATCTGCAAGTGGATATTTGGAGTACTTTGAGGCCTGTTATGGAAAAGGGAATATCTTCACATAAGTACTACACAGAAACATTCTGCGAAATTTCTTGTTATGTGTGCATTCAACTCACGGAGTTGAACCTGTCTTTTGATTCAGCAGTTTTGACTCTGTCTTTTTGTACAATCTGCAAGTGGATATTTGGAGCCTTTTGCGCCCTATGGTGGAAAAAGAAATATCTTCAAAAAAAAAAAAAAAAAACTACACAGAACCATTCTGGGGAAATTCTTTGTGATGAGTGCATTCATCACAAAGAGTTGAAACTTTCTATTGACTGAGTAGTTTTGAAACACTATTTTGTAGAATCTAGAAGTGGATATTTCAAGGGCTTTTAGGTCTATTTTGGAAAAGGAAATATCTTCAGATAAAAACAACACAGAAGTATTACGGCAAACTTCGTTGTTATGTGTGCATTCAACTCACAGATTTGAACCTATCTTTTGATAGAGCAGTTTTGAAACTCTCTTTGTGTAGAATTTGCAAGTGAATATTTGGAGAGTTTTGTGGCCTGCGGTAGAAAATGAAATACCCTCACATAAAATCTAGACAGAAGCAATCTGAGAAACCTCTTAGTGATGTGTGCATTCATCTCACAGAGTTAACCTTTCTTTTGATTGAGCAGTTTTGAAACTCTCTTTTTGTAGAATCTGCAAGTGGACATTTGGAGCGCTTTGGGGCCTACGGTAGAAAAGGAAACATCTTCACATAAATTGTAGACAGAAGCAATCTGAGAAACTACTTTATGATGTGTGCATTCCTCTCACAGAGTTAAAACTTTCTTTTGAGTGAGCAGTTTTGAAACTGTCTTTTTGTAGAATCTGCAAGTGGATATTTGGAACATTTTAAGGCCTACTGTGGAAAGGAAATATCTTCACATAAAAAGAAGAAAGAAGCAATCTGAGAAACTTCTTTGTGATGTGTGCATTCGTCTCACAGAATTAAACTTTTCTTTTGATTGAGGAGTTTTGAAACTCTGTTTTTGTAGAATCCGCAAGTGGATATTTGGAGCGCTTTGAGGCGTATGGTGGAAAAGGAAATATCTTCACATAAAAACTAGACAGAAGAATTCTGAGAAACTACTTTTTGATGTGTTCGTTCATTTCACATAGTTGAACCTTTCTTTTGACTGAGCAGTTTGGAAACACTCTTTTTGTGGAATCTGCCAGTGGACATTTGGAGAGTTTTGCGGACTATGGTAGAAAAGGAAATATCTTCACATAAAATCTAGACAGAAGCAATCTGAGAAACTTCTTTGAGATATGTGTATTCATCTCACGGAGTTAAACTTTGCTTTTGATACAGCAGTTTTGAAACTCTCTTTTTGTAGCATCTACAAGTGGACATTTGGACCAGTTTGAGGCCTATGTTGGAAAAGGAAACATCTTCACATAATATCTAGACAGAAGCAATCTAAGAAACTCCTTTGTGATGTGTGCATTCATCTCACAGAGCTGAAGTTTTCTTTTGACGGAGCAGATTGGAAACTCTCTTTTTGTAGAATTTGCAAGTGGACATTTGGAGCACTTTGAGGCCTGCTGTGGAAAAGGAAATATCCTCACATAAAATGTAGACAGAAGAATTCTGAGAAACTTCTTTGTGATGCGGACGTTCTTCTCACAGAGTTGAACATTACTTTTGATTGAGCAATTTGGAGACACTCTTTTTGTAGAATCTGCAAATGGACATTTGGAGCGCTTTGAGGCCTATGGTAGAAAAGGAAACATCTTCACATAAATTATAGACAGAAGCAATCTGAGAAACTACTTTGTGATGTGTGCATTCATCTCACAGAGTTAAAACTTTCTTTTGAGTGAGCAGTTTTGAAACTGTCTTTTTGTAGAATCTGCAAGTGGATATTTGGAGCGTTTTGAGGCCTGCAGTGGAAATGGAAATATCTTCACATAAAAACTAGACAGAAGAATTCTGAGAAACTTCTTTATGATGTGTGCGTTCATCGCAGAGAGTTGATCCTTTCTTTTGTTTGAGCAGTTTTAAAACTCTCTCTTTGTGATATGAAGATATTTCCTTTTCTACCGTAGGCCGCAAAGCGTTCCAAATGTCCACCTGCAGATTTTACAAAAAGAGTGTTTCCAAACTGCTCAATCAAAAGAAAGCTTCAACTCTGTGAGATGAATGTACACATCGCAGATAAGTTTCTCAGATTGCTTCTTTCTCGATTTTATGTGAAGATATTTCCTTTTCTACCATAGGCCTCAAAGAGCTCAAAATGTCCACTTGCAGATTCTACAAAAAGAGTTTTTCCAAACGGCTCAATCAATAGAAAAGTTCAACTCTGGGAGATGAATGTACACATCACAAAGAAGTTTGTCAGAATTCTTCTGTCTAGTTTTTATGTGAAGATATTTCCTTTTCCAACATAGCCCTCAAAGTGCTCCAGATGTCCACTTGCAGATTCTACAAAAAGAGAGTTTCAAAACTACTCAATGACAACAAAGTTTTAACACTGTGAGATGAATGCACACATCACAAAGAAGTTTCTCAGATTGCTTCTGTCTAGATTTTATGTGAAGATATTTCCTTTCCTACCATAGGCTGCTAAGCGCTCCAAATCTCCACTTGCAGATTCTACAAAAAGAGAGTTTCCTAACTGCTCAATCAAAAGAAAGGTTCATCTCTGTGAGATGAATGCACACATCACAAAGAAGTTTCTCAGATTACTTCTTTCTAGATTTTAAATGAAGATATTTCCTTTTGTACCTTAGGCAGCAAAGTGCTGCAAATGTCCACTTGCAGACACTACAAAAATAGTGCTTCCAAACTGCTAAATCAAAAGAAAGTTTCAACTCTGTGAGATGAATGCACACATCACAAAGAAGTTTCCCAGAATTCTTCTGTCTAGTTTTTATGTGAAGATATTTCCTTTTCCACTAAACGCCTCAAGGTGCTGCAAATGTCCACTTGCAGATTCTACAAAAACAGAGTTTCGAAACTGCTCTATCAAAGGAAACGTTTAACTCTGTGAGATGAATGCACACATCACAAAGAAGGTTCCCAGATTTCTTCTGTCTAGATTTTATATGAAGATATTTCCTTTTCTACAATAAACCACGAAGCGCTCCAAATGTCCATTTGCAGATTTTACAAAAAGAGCGTTTCCAAACTGTTCAATCAAAAGAAACATTGAACTCTGTGGGATGAATGCACACATCACAGAGAAGTTTCTAAGAATTCTTCTGTCTAGTTTTTATGAGAAGATATTTCCTTTTCCACCATTGGTCTCTAAGTGCTCCAAATGTCCTCTTGTAGATTCTATAAAAACAGAGTTTCAAAGCTGTTCAATCAAAAGAAAGGTTTAACTCTGTGATATGAATGCACACATCACAAAGAAATTTCTCACATTACTTATGTCTAGATTTTATGTGAAGATATTTCCTTTTCTACATTAGGGGTCAAAGCAATCCAAATGCCACTTGCAGAATCTACAAAAAGAATCTTTCCAAACTGGTTAATCTCTCAGAGATGAATGCATGTATAAAAAAGAAGTTTCTCAGAATTCTTCTGTCAAGTTTTTATGTGAAGATATTTCCATTTCCACCATAGGCCTCAAAGTGCTCCAGATGGCCACTTGCAGATTCTACAAAAAGAGCGTTTCAGAACTGCTCAATCAAAAGAAAATTTTAACTGTGTGAGGTGAATGCACACATCACAAAGAAGTTTCTCAGTTTGCTTCTGTCTAGATTTTATCTGAAGATATCTCCTTTTCTACCATAAACCACAAAGCGCTCCAAATGTCCACTTGCAGATTCTACAAAAAGAGTGTTTTCATACTGCTCAATCAAAAGAAAGATTCAACTCTGTGAGATGAATGCACACATCAAAAAGAAGTTTCTCAGAATTCTTCTCTCTAGTTTTTATGTGAAGATATTTCCTTTTCCACCATAGGCCTCAAAGCGCTCCAAATGTCCACTTGCAGATTCTAAAAAAAGAAAGTTTCAAAACTGCTCAATCAAAAGTAAGGTTTAACTCTGTGAGATCAATGCACGCATCACAAAACAGTTCCTACGATTGCTTCTGTCTAGATTTTATGTGAAGATATTTCCTTTTCTACCTTAGGCCACAAAGCACTCCAAATGTCCACTTGCAGATTCTACAAAAAGAGGGTTTCCAAACTACTCAATAAAAAGAAAGATTCAACTCTGTGAGATGAATGCACACATCAAAAAGAAGTTTCTCAGAATTCTTCTCTCTAGTTTTTATGTGAAGATATTTACTTTCCCAATATAGGCCTCAAAACGCTCAGAATATCCACTTGCAGATTCTACAAAAAGAGAGTTTCCAAACTCCTCAATCAAAAGAAAGATTTAACTCTGTGAGATGAATGCACATTTCACAAATAAGTTTCTCAGATTGCTTCTGTCTAGATTTTATGTGAAGATATTTCCTTTTCTACTATACGCCCCAAAGCGCTCTGAATATCCACTTGCCGATTCTACAAAAAGAGTGTTTCCAAACTGCTCAATGAAAAGAAAGATTCAACTCTGTGAGATGAACGCACGTATCACAAAGAAGTTTCTCAGAATTCTTCTGTCTAGTTTTAATGTGAAGATAATTCCTTTCCCACTATAGGCCTAAAAATCCTCAAAATGTCCACTGGCAGATTCTACAAAAAGAGAGTTTCAAAACTCCTCAATCAAAAGAAAGTTTTAACTCTGTGGGATGAATGTACACGTCATAAAGAAGTTTCTCAGATTGCTTCTGTCTAGATTTTATGTGAAGATATTTCCTTTTGTAACTTTGGCCGCAAAGTGCTCCAAATGTCCACTTGCAGATTCTGCAAAAGATTGGTGCCAAAATGCTCAATCAAAAGGAAGTTTCAACTCTGTGAGATGAACTCAGGCATCACAAAGAAGTTTCTCATAATTCTTCTGTCTAGTTTTTATGTGAATATATTTCCTTTCCCACCATAGGCCACAAAGAGCTCCAAATGTTCACTTGCAGATTCTACAAAAAGAGATTTTATAGACTGTTTAATCAAAACAAAGGTTTAACTCTGTGCGGTGAATGCACACATCACAAAGTAGTTTCTGAGATTGCTTCTGTCTAGATTTTATTTGAAGATATTTCCTTTTCTAACATAGGCCACAAAGCCTTCCAATGTTCTTCTTGCAGATTCTACAACAGAGTATTTCCAAACTGCTCAATCAAAAGAAACGTTCCACTCTGTGAGATGAACTAACGCATCACAAAGAAAGGTGAAAACTAAGGACAATATTTTAAACAACAAAAAATACCAAGTATGCATTGAGATTGAGAGGGAAAGTGCTGGGTCCCAAGAGTATAACAGGCACTGAGCCTAGTGTGGGGCCCAGGCGTCTCTGGCATGGTGACTTCCTAGGTCGTTGTTGTCCCTCCTTGTTGCTCCTGCTGTCTTCTTCGGTTACATTTGCTTCTCTGCATTTCCTCATTTTACAGTGTGTGGGATGCAGTCGTCTCTGAACAGGAATAGGCAACTGTGCACCTGTTACACCGTGCTTGATGCTCTGCATTGATGTACACTGGGCCTAGGTTTCCCTGGTGGACTGCTTGGGCCGTTCTTGTCATCTGGCTCTGAAGTATTTGTTCACAGAAGTGCACTTGCCAGATGGGGAAGCCAGAGATCTGGGGTCCTCTGATGAGGCCACTCTCGCCCTGCTTATCTTCCCTGACATACCTAACAGATGAAGCTCAGGTGCGCGATGCACCTCAGGCCACAGTGTGGACTGTTGTAACCAAGCGAGTTATAGACGAACGCCACCCTTTGAGACAAATTGAGGAGTCCTTTATTAGCCAGCGACCGAGAGGCAGCTAACACTCAAAATTCTCTTGGCCCCGAGGAAGGGGCTGGTTTTGTTTTTATTCCGCACTCTAAATAGGGGAGGAGGGAGTTTAACTGAAACAATTTTTACGGAAGCAGAGCTGGCAAATAGTTAAAAAATTAATTGGTTATAAAAGCAGTTACAAAACAAATAAACCATTCCAGGTGCAGGGGCTTAAACTATCACAAAGAGAGAAATGCGGGGGTTTTGTGTGATATTCACTGAGTGCGTCCCCAGGAGCTGCTGGTGCAGCTTGCCTCAATATCTTATCAGTAAGTGCATTCCTGGACGTGCTTTTAGTCAATTTACACTAGTTATGGCCTTAAGGGAGGGAGGTAAAGGGGGCTGCACTTGAAGAAACTAAAATAGAGTCTGTCCGGCTCTCTCTCCGCTAGGAGAGAGTCACTCAGGTTAAAACAAGGTAGGGTATCACAGGACCATGTACAATTCTTCAAACTCCAGCTTCAAATCTCTTTCTTATTGCTCTCTTAAGACAGTATATTTAGATCAGAGTAAATGAAAGTAATGTTATTAGGAGATAAGATTAAAATCGATCCCATTTGTAAAAAGGGTAATAGATTATTTGTGAACTGTAATACTTTTTTTTAGTGAAGAATCACCTTAAATCTTGGAACCTGGATACAAGATAATTCCTTCATTCTGCAAACGTTTAGTAGCAAAGTATATGCCAGGACTGTGCTAGGTACTAGGGATACATAGAGTATCCCCAGTATATAGTATATATACTAGGTTGGATATATAGTATAAGATGCCTTGGAGTGTCAGATAGTTTCATATAAATGGCTCATGCAGTATATAGACAGTGTGGTAAAAAGAGACCACTGAGATGCACAAAGGACAGACAATAAAGCGTCCTTGAATGGTACATAAACGTGTTTGGACTTTTCACTCAGGGCTGTTGAAGTTCTTGAAGCTCAGTTGTCTCAGAGTTTCGGTGTTTTCAAGCCCTGCTAAGCACTTTCTTTCTAGCTGATGATTGGCCACCATTACTGATCATCTATTGGCTCTGTCTGATTCACCAATCCCACCACTGAGTATTTATGCAAAGGAAAAGAAATCAATGTATGAGAAAGATAACTGTACTTGTGTATTTGTTGCAACACTATTCACAGTAGCAGAGATATAAAATCAAACTAAATGTCCATCAACAAATGATTGGAGAAAGAAAATGTAGAAAATATACACAATGAAATACTATTCAGGCGTAAAAAGCAATAGAATCATAACTTTTGAAGACACATGGATGGAACTGGAGGCCATTGTTGTAAGTGAAGCAAGCCAGACACAGAGTAAACATCGTATTTTATCACTCATAAGCGGGTGCTAAAAGGTGTGTAGATATTGATGTAGAGAATGGAATGATAATGGAGACTCAGCAGGGTGAGGGGATGGAAGAGGTGAATAGTGAGAAATTTCTTAATGGGTACAATGTGCATTATTCTGGTGATGGATACCTAAAAGCCCTGACTTCACCACTATGCCATCCATGCTTACAGCAAAATTGCACTTGGAACCCATAAATTTATACAAAAAAAGTCTTAGACCTCTCTCTCTTCTCTCATAAGCCTCAGAGCTCAGTGATCCCCTTGGATCTCCTCAGCCTGCTGAGTTGTGATTTTCCTACCTAAGGTGATTTTGGGCAGAGACAAGGGAGTGTTTCAGGAAGATGTTCTCAGGCGTACGCTTCTAAAGAAACATTGTAGACTCTTCTACTGGCCTTTATCTAGTCACTGCTTTAAGCAAGGAATAAAACATCTGTGGCTAAAATTTGTAAAACTGTGTTTCCCACCCACCCTTCAGACCTGACAGAAGAGTTTTTAGGATTTTAAGGGAACAGCTTTTTCGTGACCCAAAAGGGAACAGTGGTGCAAAGACCAATGTCACGTAGGTACATTTTCCCCATCTGTAAAATAACTTTCCGATACGATTCCCACACCTGGAATCAGTACAATGTTTTGACTGAGGTATTAGAAAAACTTATGAGTTCATTATCATTTGAACATATGAGTAATGTAAAATTTAGGCAGAATTTTATTTGAAAGGATTATTTATGCAATTTTTGATTAAATGATTTATATTGCAGTTATTTCAAACAATAAAAATCAGGTCATTGTGTTGTAAGCTAGAAATATTTACAATAACGCATGGTCTTGTTTATCTCACATGATGAATTGAAGATTAAAACAAAATAATTTATCTTAGGGAATTCTGTGACCGTTTCTGTTTCTCTTTGCTTTCATAATGACTTCAAACTCTTGTATATATATAGAGAACTCCTGACTTAAGATTTTTTTTTTTGTCTATTGTGCTATGTTTCTGTAACTTTTTAAGATCTAGAGGAACATACATTTAGTCTCAGTTGGCCAACTAAATGTTATGGAGTCAGCTTCTGTGTTATGTGCTGAGTATTGAAGGAAAGGTGGAGACAAGGCTGCTACCCTCGCGGAATCTGCTGAGAAAACCTGATGGAGTGTGGCAGCGAACATGCTGGGAGCATCCCAGGATGCCAAAAGCGCACACGGATGGAACACCTGCCTTAGAACAGGGGAGGTTCAGACAAGGAGAGGTATCAGGAAAAACAAGGAAAGTTTAAAATGCAGGAATAGAAACACACTTGAGAAATCCATGAGGAATGAAAAGAGAATGGCGGAGCAGCAGCAGATTGTCAAAAAGGAAATCAAGAAGGAGCAGCCAAAGAGGTTGATGGAGAATCAGGAGAAAGAAGGTGACACTGAAGCCAAGGGAAGGAAAGTGTTACAACATTTCTGGGAAAAAATGACATGCTCTGTCTTAACCTTGCTGTTTTATGAGCCATATAGCCACATTCCAGGTTCTGAGAAGTCCAGCACTAAAGATGTTTCTTTTAGTTTGCTTAACCCAACATTTGCCAGAATAATCTGGGCTCAGTGTGAGGGTGTGTGCATGTATGTGCCTGTGTGTTCTACTAGTATCTCACTGAGGCTAGTGCTGTATACAACATAATTTTTAAAACACTGGTTTTATCCATCTTTATGTTCAGCTGCAGCAACATTTACAAAGGTCAAATTTGATCATGTGTCTTCATTACTAAAGGAAACAAAACAAACTAATGAATAAAGCCCACCTGGCAGTGGCTCCTCACTACCTGTATGACGGAGCACACCTGGCTTGGTCTGGGTGCCCTGTGCTTACCTGGCCGTGCTGTCTTCTGCCTGTTGCTTTGCCTCCCCTTTCCTCCTGGAGAAGGTAGAGATGCTCTGAGCTTTGGCCCGTCTGGAACATGTGTCCTTCCCCTCATGTGGCCCATGTTTTCCTGAGTCCACTTTAATCTCGTTTAAGGATATAGAACTTTCTTTAAAGCTTTTGGTCAAGTCTCACTCTCTATGCTGTCTTCCTGCTCCTTCTACAATGTACATACTTTACTGATACATTAATTATGCTATATCAGCCAAGGGTTTTACTTCTATATCATTTTATATCATTATCTTTTTTCTTAGAGTTTAGTTCATTCATTTATTCAGTCTTTCCACAATATAATTGTATGTCATATAATTTCATATTTATTTTCATTGGCGTCTATATATCTTTTCTGTAAAAATGGAGGCTTTCTAAATAGATCTTCATTAATGTTGAAAGAACAAGGTTTTAAGTCTTGGTCTCAGCCAAAAGGAGTTCCCCACATTACCAGGAGGGAAATAAACACTTGCATTGTTGCATTAGATATTCTTACAGAGAAAGAGAACCATGTGTAATGGAAAATTTCTAACTTTGCCTCAGGGAGACCAGATTGATTCACTGAGAAAGTCTGAATTGGTTTAGAAGCATAGTTCGGAGTTTTCTAGAAGGACAAAAGTTAGAGTAGGGCATAAGAAGTAATACCCATATCAAAAAAATTAGAAATATCTCAAATTAACCACCTAACATCACAACTGAAAGAATTAGGGAAGCAAGAAGAACTCAACCACAAAGCTTATAGAAGACAAGAAATAACTAAAATCAGAGCTGAATTGAAGGAAATTGAGACATGAAAAACTGATCAAAAGATCACTTAATCAAGGTTTTTTGAAAAAATTAATAAGATAGGGCACTAGCTAGACTAATAAAGAAGAAAAGAGAGAAGATTCAAATAAACAAAATTAGAAATGATGAAGGGAATGTTACCACTGACCCCAGAGAAATAAAAATAACAACCAGCAACTACTACGAGCACCTCTATACACACAAACTAGAAATCCTAGAAGAGATTAATAAATTCCTGGACACATATACTCTCTCAAGACTGAACCAGGAAGAAATTCAGTCTCTGAGCAGACCAATTATGAGCTCCAAAAATTGAATCCATAATAAATAGCCTATCAACCCCCCCAAAAAGCCCAGGACCTGATAAATTAACAAATTTTAACAGATGTACAAAGAAGAACAAGTACCAGTCCTACTGAAACTATTTCAAGAAATAGAGGAGGAGAGACTCTTCCCCAACTTGTTCTACGAGACCAGAATCATCCTGATACCAAAGCCTGGCAGTGACACAACAAAAGAAGAAAACTTCAGGCCAGTATCCTTGATGAACATCCATTCAATAATCCACAATAAAATACTTGCAAACTGAACCTAGCAACACATCAAAAGGCTAATTCACCATAGTGAAGTAAGCTTCTTCCCTGGAATGGAAGGTTGGTCCATCATGGGCAAATCAATAAAATGTGATTCGTAACATAAAGAAAACTAAAGATAAGAACCACGTGATTGTCTCAATAGATGGAGAAAAGGCTTTCAGTAAAATTCAACAAAGCTTCATGTTAAAAATTCTCAATAAATGAGGTATCAAAGGAATATACCTCAAAATAATAAAGGCCATCTATGACAAATTCACAGCCAACATTATACTAAATGGGCAAAATCTGGAAGCATCCTCCTTGAAACCCGCACAAGACAAGGATGCTCTCTCTCACCACTCCTATTCAACATAGTATTAGAAGTCCCTTCTGGAGCAATCTGACAAGAGAAAGAAATAAAGGGTATTTAAATAGAAAGAGAAGTCCAACTACCTCTGTTGGCAGACAACATAATTCTCTATCTAAACCCTATAGTTGTGACCCAAAAACTCCTTAAGCTGATAAACAACTTCCACAAAGTTTAAGGACACAAAATCAATGTACAAAATTTGCTAGCATTCCTATACACCAAGAAAAGCCAAACTAAGAGCCAAATCAGAGAGGCAATTTTATTCACAATTTCCATGAAAAGAATAAAGTACATACGAATACAGCTAACCAGGGAGGTGAAAAATCTCTACAATGAAAATTACAAAACACTGCTCAAAGAAGTCAGAGAAGACACAGATAAATGAAAAATCATTCCGTGTTAATGGAGAGAAAGAATTAATATCATTTAAATGGTTGTACTGCCCAAGGCTATTCCTATTAAACTACCAATGACATGCTTCATGGAAGTAGATAAAAGCTATTCAAAAATTCATATAGAACCAAGAAAGAACCTAAGTAGCCAAGGCAATCCTAAGCAAAAAGAACAAAGCTTGAGGCATCACATTACCAGACTTCAAACTACACTACAGCACTATAGTAAGCAAAACAGCATGGTACTAGTACAAAAACAGACACATACACCAGTGGAACAGAATAGAGAGGTTAGAAGTAAGACCACATACCTACAACTATCTAATCTTTGACAAAGCTGGCAAAAACTAGCAATGGGGAAAAGATTCCCTATTCAATAAATGGTGCTGGGATAACTGGCTAGCCATATACAGAAGAGTGAAGTTGGACTTCTTCCTTATACCATGCACAAAAATCACTCAAATGGATTAAATACTTAAATGTAAAACCCAAAACTATAAAAGCCCTGGAAGATAACATAGACAATACCATCCTGGACATAGAAAGAGGCAAAGATTTCATGATAAAGACATCAAAAACAACAAACACAACTATTGACAAGTGGGATCTAATTAAACTTAAAAACTTCTGCTCAGCAAAAGAAATAATCAATAGAGTGAACAGACAACATATAGAATGAGGAAAAAATATTTACAAACTAAGTATCTGACAAAGATCTAATATTCAATATAAGGAACTTAAATTTACAAGAGAAAAACAAAAAACCCTATTAAAAAGTGGCCAAAGCCCTGACTTCTGAATGGCACTTCTGGACCCAGCCAGGGACTGAGGGATCTCACTGCCCTAAAGGAAAGAACACAGGCCTGTCTGGCTTTGCCAACTGCTAATTGTAGAGACCAAAAGCCTTGAGTGAGCATAGGCAGTCGTCAGAAAGTGCATGCAGCAGGACTTGAGCAAGACCCGTGCTGTGCTAGCTTCAGGTCTGATCCAGGGCATCATAGTGGTGGTGGCCAGTGGTGCTTGTGTCTTTCTTCTCCCAGCTTTAGGTGGCTTAGAACAGAGAGAAAGACTCTGTATCTTTGAGAGAAAATAAGGGTAGGGAAAAAGAGTCTCTGGCTAGTAATCCAGAAAATTCTCCTGTATCTTGTTGAAGGCTGTCAGGGTGGTACTTCTCTGAGTCTGGAAGAATTACAGCATTATTGGGTATAAGGTGCCCCATAAAGCAGATATGGCTTAGATCACAACACCCAACTCTTTTCAAATATGTGAAAAGCCTTCCCAAGAAAGACAGCTACATATAAGCTCAGACAATGAAGACTACAATACTCACCTTTTCTCTCTTTAAATTTTATTTTTTAAACCTCTCATATGGTGCTGCATGCCCAAGATTTTAATGTCCAGACACTGAAGAACATCTACTAGCATCAACACTGTCCAGGAAAACATGACCTCACCAAGTGAACTAAATAAGGTACCAGGGACAAATCCTGGAGAAAAAGAGATATGTGATGTTTCAGACAGAGAATTCAAAATAGCTGTATTTAAAAAAAAAAAAACTGAAAGAAATTTAAGATAACAAAGTAAATAAATTCCAAATTTTATCAGCTAAACTCAACAAAGAGATTGAAATAGTTACAGCAAATAAAGCTGAAATTCTGAGCTGAAAAATGCAATTGGCATGCTGAAAAATGCATTAAACCATGTAACAGAAGAATGGATCAAGCAGAAGAAATAGTGAGCTTGAAGACAGGCTCTTTGAAAATACATTGAAGAGACAAAAGAAAAAGAATAAAAACAACAAATCATGCCTACAGGATCTAGAAAATAGCCTCACAAAGACAGATCTAAGAGTTATTTGTTTTAAAGAAGATATAGAGAAAGAGGCAGGGGAGGATCTAGAAAATAGCCTCACAAAGACAGATCTAAGAGTTATTGGTTTTAAAGAAGATGTAGAGAAAGAGGCAGGGGTAGAAAAATTCATTCAAAGGGATAATAACACAGAACTTTCCAAACCTAGAGAAAGATATCCATATCCACCTACAAAAATGTTATAGAATATTAAGCAGATTTAACCCAAAAAAGACTACTTCAAAGCTTTCAATAGATCTTCCAAAAGTCAAAGATAAAGAAAAGTTCTAAACGAAGAAAGAGAAAAGGAACAAATAACATACTGCGGAGCTCCAACACGTCTGGCAGCAGACTTTACAGTGGAAACTCTACTGGCCAGGAGAGAGAAGCAATAAATATTTAAAGTATTAAAGGAAAAAAAGTTTTACCTTAGAATAGAATATACAGTGAAAATTTTCTTCAAATAAAAAGAAGAAATACTGACTTTTTCAGACAAACAAAAGCTGAAGTATTTTATGAATACCATACCTGTCCTAAAGGAATGCTAAAGGGAGTACTTCAATCAGGAAGAAAAGGACATTAACGAGCAATAAATGATCACCTAAAGGTAAAAAAAAAAATCCTCACTGCTAATAGGATACAAAACAAAACAGAATATTATAACGCTATAGCTGTGTAGTGTGCAAACTACTCTTATTCAAAGTAGGAACACTAAATAATATCCAATCAAAAGTAATAACTACAACATTTCAAGACATAGCACAATAAAATATAAATAGAAACAAAAAGTTACAAAGTTAAGGGATGAGCACGACCAGTCCTGAGCCAGCCGATGTGGTGGAAGCTCCAGAGCTCGGGAGCTCGCGGAAGGACTGGAGCGTGGGCTGAAAGGAGGCCGCCCCGAGAGCTGGAAGCCTGGGCAGGGGACGGAGGCCTCTGGCGCCCCCCAGCAACAGCAGGGCGGCACCACTTTGGTCCTGCGCTAGGTCTGGCCGCCGCTGACGGCGGGACGCTCTGGGAGGCCGGCGGTGCTCGGGTGTAGAGGGAGACAGCTGCCTGGGGGCACCGGCGACAGCCTCTGGGGGTCCCGGATCCGAGACCAGCGGCCCCGGGGTGGCGGTGATGCCTGGAGTCGTGCGCGCGTTGCTGGGCCGGGCTCTTGGGGCAGCCAGGCTCCGCTGCTGGCGTCTAGGCCACACCACCCTGAACGCGCCCGCTCGCCTCTGATCTGTTGAAGCTAAGCAGAGTGGGGCCTGGTTAGTATTTGGATGGGATTCCACCTGGTAATACCCGGTACCATAGGCTTTTGGCTTCCCGCTCTCTCCCTCTTTCCCCCTTTTGCCTCCGTGCTTCCCAACCGCCCCCGCGACTCTGCTCCCCCTTGACCGCCCCCGCGCCCCAGCCGAAGCCCAGGACCTCCTCCTGAAGATCCGCCACTGCAGCACCGCCAGGCAGCAGCATCCTACCTCTTCCGACTCGCGGCAGCCCCACCAGGAGCCTGGCTCCAACCCGGGCAGGACGGGACAGACCCCGAGGGCGCAGGCACGGGTTCCCTGAGGTCCCGGGTGTCTTCACACTCCCCGGACTCCCAGGCAATTCTATTCATTCATCCAGAGACACTGTAACCGTCCAAGCCGGGGGAAGGGGCGGGCAGGGGCAGCGGGTCCCACATACCCCAGCCAAGACCTCCGCTCCAGAACCCGTGGGCTGCTTTCCCCAGGGGAAGGAGATTGTCTTCGCCAGCCACGAGGAAATCCGTCCCTGTGCACCCGGTTTCCCAATACCACCGACTTCGTGTGAACTCCAGTCCTGAGGAGAGGAGAGAGACCCAGGCCTCGCCCCGTGGACAAGCTTGGCACCACGGCTCCCTCCAGACAAAGGAGAACACTCTACAAATCTCGGAGCCCAGGGCAACAAGGAGACAGAAAGAAGCAAACAAAGGAAGGACCTTATGAAATGCACCCACAAAGCAACCAACCAATTCAAGAAAATAAAACACGTCTTAGGGCTCCGTTGGTTTTCCCGGGTGGGGAGCCCTGACTCCCTGTTCTAGCCCGGCCCAAGCACCCTCCACCCCACCCCTGCCTGCGGAAAGGTGCCCTGTCTACCTGAGCAGAGCCTCCCTCTCCAAGGCTCTGTTGCTGTCACTCTACCACTCCCTCACCCTCTCCCTTTCTCTACTTCCCCTTCCACCTCGCGCTCTACTGTGGAGCTCTCTCTTCCCCCTTCTCTGTCTCTCCTCCCCCCTTCTCTGTCTCTCCTCCCCCCTTCTCTGTCTTTCAATCGCTGTATCTCTCTCTCCTGGTTCTATTTCTCCATCGCTCTCTCCCTTGCTCTCCTTCTGTAGCAGGAGGAGCTGCAGACAGAACCCCTCAGACAACGAGTTGTAGAAGGAGGGGCTTTATTCAGCTGGGAGCATCGGCAGACTCACTTCTCCAAAAACCTAGCTCTCTGAATGAGCAATTCCTGTCCCTCTTAAGGGCTTACAACTCTAAGGGGGTCCACGTGAGAGGTTCGTGATGGATTGAGGAAGCAGAGGGTACGTGACTGGGGGCTGCATGCACCGGTAATTAGATCAGAACAAAACTGGACAGGGATTTTCACAGTGCTTTTCTATACAATGTCTGTAATCTATAGATAACATAACCGAGTAGGTCAGGGGTCAATCTTTAACTAGCAGGCCCAGGGTGTGGCGCAGGGCTGTCTGCCTGTGGATTTCATTTTTGCCTTTTAGATTTTACTTCTTCTTTCTTTGGAGGCAGAAATTGGCCATAAGACAATATGAGGGGTGGTCTCCCTTCAAGCTATCTGTGTCTGTGTCTTTGTGTGTCCGTGTGTGTGTGCCCGGGTGTGGTGTGTCTGTGTCCGTGTGTGTGTGTGTCTGCGCGCGTGCACCCGTGTGTATCCGTGTGTGTGTCAGGGTGGGTTTGCTCGTGGTAGTGGTGGGGTGTGTCTGGGTGTCCGTCAGCCCCTCTTTCCCGGGATGAGGCTGCCGGGGCTCTAGTGCTGGCGAGGGGCAAAGCAGAGCCTTCCTGCCCCATTGGCCATGGCAGGTCCTTTTCGGAACAATCGACGATTGTGTAGGCGTTGTAAGAAACATGGCCTGCGGGGCTGGGCCGGCTGTTCGCCCCGGTCAGCCCAGGTGGCTCTGGGTGTGTGGGGCAAGAGGGGTCCTTGCAGGAGGGGCAGCAAGGAATCCAAAATAATTGTTCCACGGCAAGGCGGAGGACCGGAGGGGACCCCAGGACAGTGGGCCCTGGGCCCTGATGCCTCGGAGCACACCCCTTCCTGAGCGGGCCCCAGGTGTTGGAAGCTCTGGAGCTGGAGAGCCGGGGGAAGGCCTGGAGTGTCAGCGAGAGGGTGGCCGCCTGGAGAGTCCAGAGCCCTGGCAGTGGATGGAGGCCTCTGGCGCCTTGGCGGTCTCGCACGTGGTCTGGCCGCCGGCGACAGCGGGATGCTCTGGGAGGTCAGCGGAAAGAGCAGCGCGGCGACTGGTGGTGCTTGGGCGTAGAGGGGGAGAGCAGTCCGGCCAGGGGAAAGTGGCTCTAGGGTGCCTGATCCCAGCCTTGTGGCCCCGGGTTTTGATGACGCCTGGAATCAGGCGGGCGTAGCTGGACTGGACTCTTGGGCCAGCCAGGCGCCACTGCCATTGTCTAGGGCCACACCACCCGGAAAACGAGAGAGACCCAAGCCGCGAACCGTGGGCATGCTCAGCGCCACTGCTCCTGCCACAGTGAGGGGCGCACTCTACAACTTTCAGGGCCCACAGTACCAAGAGGAAAGGGAGGAGCCAACAAAGGAATGAGGCTACGAAACGCACCCCCAAAGCAACCAACCAATCCAAGTAAAAACACGTCTCAGGGCTCTGTTGGGTTTCCCGCGTGGGCGGCCCTGCCCCCCTGTTCCAGCCCGTCCCAGACACCTTCCACCCTACCCTGGCCAAAGGGGCCCCTGTCTACCAGATAGAGCCTCCCTCTCCAAGGCTCTGTTGCTCTCCCTCTCTAGCTCCCTCACCCTTTCCCTTTCTCTACTTCCCTCTCCACCTTGCTCTCTCTCTCTCAATCTCCCAGGTTCCTCTCTGTCTCTCTCTGGATAGCTGTTTCTCTCTCCTTCCGTTTCTATCTCTCCATCCCTCTGTCCCTTGCTCTCCTTCAAGCTGTCTGTGTCTTTCTGTGTCTGTGTGTGTGCTTGTGTTCCCGCGCGTGCGCCCATGTGTGTCTGTGTGTTTGGGAGTGGGTGTGCTAATGATTGTGGTGGGTGAGTCTGGATGTCCATCAGTACCTTAGTCCTGGGATCAGGCTGTCAACTCTATTGCCAGTGCATGGGTGTCACAGTTGCCGTGATATTCTCACACACGCAGGTGTGTGGATCTCGTTCATTTTCACATAGACAACGAGAGCGAAACCACAGAGAAAAGAAAGATCCCGTGCCTCACGGCCTGACGATGGATTCCTGTTTCCTGCAAAATGGGGAGTCTCCAATATAGCCTGTTTGAAAACTTGAAAGGGGAGCACTGACACAATGCTGGTCTTCCACGCATTCCTGGAAGTTTCTGGGACCCCACAGAGCTAGGGAAACAAACAGTCAACATGGTCACGCTTTCAGGGGGCAGAAACTTGAGCAACAGGCACCTTTGCAGAGGGTAAAGAAACGTGGAATCCAGAATCACGCTTCAGTTGGCCTAAGTGTGGCTCCTGTGTGGATGGGACTATCCGCCTCGCGCTCTGTTGCAGGGCTCAACGTGGAGATATGTCATCTGTGAACCATGTGGATGAAAAACAGACAACCACCTGAGTCTCAGCTCATTGCTCTCTGGGGAATTCGCTCATTCCTTCGGAAACGGAATTGGTCTGAATTGCTCTGGGATTAAGTAACCCAGGCTGGCGATCCAGAGGGCCGCTGAGCGCCCCGCCAGCCAACAGGGCTGTGGGCCCAGCACTTAGCCCGCACTGGGCACCCAACATTTTCCCGGAGTGCTGGGTCCTGTTGGTTCTGGAGGCAGAAGACCGTTTTCCTCTCTGCCTTCCGTTCTCTGTTTCTTGCTCCTTTTGTCCCTCGGTCCATCCTTCCCTCTGTTCTTCCTTCCCTCCCCCGGTTTTTTTCTCCCTTTCTCCCTCCCTCTTTCTCTCCCTTCCGGTGTCCCTCCTTCCACCCATCCTTTCCTAGCTCCATCCTTCCATCTCACTCTCTCCGTTCTTGTCCTCATCTCTGCCTGCCTTTCCTCTTGCCTGGAAAGGGCAGCACCTCGGTTTGCACGGGGTCTCGGGTCTACATTTAGTTGCAAGGCGCTCCATGGTGCTGGCAAGGAGGCTGACGGGAGAAGGGTTGGCAAGTGATGGTGAGCGAAGAGGCAGAGGAGTCGAGCCGCAGAAAAGAGAACTGGCCTGGCTTCTGCCCCGGCCCAGTGTTTCGCGAACTGAGGTCTCCGCCAACCTGACTGAAGAACGCGGTGGAAAAAGGGATGAGAGCTCCGCCTGGGCTAGTTAGAAATCCTAGGCTGCTGCCTGGAAACCCGCGCATGCGCAGTAGACAGCCCACTTCCGGGTACCTGGACCGGCCCTGGGATCCCCGGGATGCTCAGGAATTCTTTATTGTCATTCTTGACAGCAGTCCTCTGTATGGAGTCTATCGCTGGACCTGGAACTCAGGGATCCTAGGCAGGTCAGCTGGAAGGGAAGACACGCCTCTCCATACCAAGCCTGAGGTTCACCGCGAAAGAGAGGCCGCCGCTCTGCCCCCAGCCCGCCCCAACCCCGCCCCAACCTGCTCCTCCAGCAGAGTCCAGTGTTCGTTCTGGCTGAGGAGTGGTTCCAGCAAAACGGGCTCTTCCACGTCCTTCAGCTCCCCCAGTGGCGCCAGATCTAGGAAATGTTGTGCCTTTTGCTGAAACTCTGGGGTTTACAGGAGCTCATCTAACAGGCTGGAGGTGAGTGCAGACGAGCTTCCCGGCTCCTGGAGCGGTTGGGAGGCGCCTGGATGGCTGGCATCTGTGCTTGACGCGGAGGCCTCCGGAGGTGGAGGTGCCCCGTCTTTGGGTTCCCACGCCGCCCTGGCAACCTGGGGCTCCAGCACCACCACGGACTCCGGTGGGACGTGGGTGGCACAAGCACACCTTGCCCCTGTGACTCAGCTTGAGGGGGCCCAAACTGAACACGCGCCCAGCAGGCCGTCGCGCAGCAGTTTCTGGTCTTCCTGTCATTTGTTGGGGTGCGGAGGCCACCAGGGAGTCTGAGGATGGGAGAGCCCCAGTTCTGGAGGAGCCAGGGCAGGGAACACAAAGCCCCACATGTCCAGGCAGGTTGGGAGAGTCCTTCTTCCTGCGCAGCCTGGCTGGGCTGGAGCAGGGGGATGGCCCTTGCTGCCTGGCTCACGAAAGCCCCCTGTGGGAGAGCCCCAGGGGCGCAGGGCATGTGGGGTGTGGGAAGCGCAATTCCCCATGCCCTGTTGTGGGTGAACTGGATAGAGGAGGGAGGAGGGTGACACCCACCAGGGGTGCCAATTAGTAACCACAGTGACCTCAAAGAACTCAAATGAAAGGAAGACTTGCACGTCTCTCACTTGAAGTCCAGAGCTAGAAATGATCAAGCTTAGTGAAGATGTAGAATTTTCATAGCTAGAGAGAAATCAACACTTGGCTTCAAAACTTCAAAGGATGGGCTGACTCTCTTTGAGGACCACTGCAGCTGGTGACTTTAAGTTACAGCCAGTGCTCATTGACCACTCTGAAAATCTCAGGGCCCTTAAGAATTATGCAAAATCTATTCTTTCTGTGCTCTAGAAATGGAACATCACTGTCTGGGTGACAGCACAACTGTTAATAGCATAGTTTACTGAATATTTTAATCCCACTATTGAGACCTACTGCTCAGAAAAAAAAAAAAGTGATTCCTTTAAAAAGATTGTTGCTTGGCCAGGCATAGTGGCTCACACCTGTAATCCCTGCACTTTGGGAGGCCGAGGATCACCTGAGGTCAGGAGTTCAAGACCAGCCTGGCCAAAATGATGAAACCCAATCTCTAATAAAAATACAAAAAAATAGCGGGGCAGGGTGGTAATACCTGTAATTTCAGCTACTCGGGAGGCTGAGGCAGAAGAATGGCTTGAACCCTGGAGGCGGCGGAGGTTGCAGTGAGCCAAGACCACACCACTGCACTCCAGCCTGGGCAACAAAAGCGAAACTACGTCAAAAAAAAAAAAAAAAAAAAAAGGAAAGGAAAGAAAAAGAAAAAGGAAAAAAAGATTGCTGCTTATTGACAATTCACCTAGCTACCCAGAAGCTTAGATGGAGATGTACTTGGAAATTAATGTTATTTTCATGGCTGCTAATACAATATTTACCTTCAGCCTGTGGATCAAGGAGTGGTTTTGACTTTCAAGTGTTTTTATTAATTAATAAATGCATTTTGTAAAGGTATAGCTATCATAGATAGCGATGTCTTTGATGAATCTGGATAAACTGAATTGAAAACCTTTTGGAAAGGATTCACCATTAATCCTTTCATGATATTTGAACCTCCTCCCGTGAATCACAAATGTCCTTAATAGCAATCCTTAAATGCCATTAAGGACATTTGTGATTGATGGGAGGAGGTTGAAATATTAACATTAACAGGAGTTTGGAAGAAGTTGATTCCAGCCCTCATGGATGACTTTGAGGGCTCAGGATGTCAGTGGAGGAAGTCCCTGCAGACGTGGTAGAAATCGCAAGACAACTAGAATTAGAATTAGGGCCTTAAGGTGAGATGAAATTGCTGTAAACTCATGATGAAACTTGAACAAATAGGGAGTTGCTTCTTGTGGACGAGCAAAGAAAATATTTTCTTGAGATGGAATCTAATCCAGGTGGAGATGCTATAAACATTGTTGAAATGACAACAAAGGATTTAGAATATTCCATAAACCTAGTTGATAAAGCAGCAGCAGGGTTTGAGAGGGTTTACTCCAATTTTGAAAGAAGTTCTGCTGTTGATAAAATGCTGTCAAACAGCATCACATGCTACAGGGAAATCTTTTGTGAAAGGAACAAACTTCATTGTTTTAAGAAATTGACACAGGCACCCAACCTTCGGCAGCCCCCACACTGATTAGCCAGCAGTCATCAATATATAGGCAAGACCCTCACCAGCAAAAAGATTATGACTTGGTGAGGCTCAGATATTCATTAGCATTTTTTAGCACTGATGTATTTTAACTTAAGGTATGTACACAGTTTTTTAGACGTGCTATTAATTACTAATTAATAATTATTAAATACTCATTAGACTACAATATAGTTTAAGCATAACTTTTATAAGCACTGGGAAACAAAATGTTTATGCAACTAACTTGATTGTAACATTTGCCTTATTGCAGTAGTCTGGAACCAAACCCACCCTATCTCTGAGGTGTGCTTGTAGGTTTTTGGTTGTAACATTTGCCTTATTGCAGTGGTCTGGAACCAAACCCACACTATCTCTGAGGTGTGCTTGTAGGTTTTTGGTTGTAACATTTGCTTTATTGCAGTTTTCTGGAACCAAACCCACAATACCTCTGAGTATGCTTGTAGGTTTTTGGTGGTTCTTTGTTTGGAGATGGGGTTTCGCTCTGTCACCCAGGCCAGAGTGCAGTGGCATGATGATAGCTCACTGCAGCCTCAAACTGCTGGGTCAAGTGATTTTTCTACCACAGCCTACTGAGTGGCTGGGACTACAGGCATGCAGCACTATGCTTGGCTATTTTTTTTAATTTTTTTTTGTAGAGACGGGATCTCACTATGTAGCCCAGCTGGTCTTGAACTCCGGGACTGAAGCAATCCAGCCACTTCAGCCTCCAAAAGTGCAGCCATTACAGGCTTGAGCCACTGCACCCAGCTTGTCTGCAGTTCTTAAAACAAAAACGGCCAGGTGCCATGTCTGACGCCTGTAATCCCAGCACTTTGGGAGGCCAAGGCAGGTGGATCACAAGGTCAGGAGTTCGAGACCAGCCTGGCCAAGATGGTGAACCCAGTCTCTACTAAAAATACAAAAATTAGCCCGGCGCAGTGGTGGGCAACTGTAGTCCCAGCTACTCGGGAGGCTGAGGCAGGATAATTGCTTGAACCCTGGAGGCGGAGGTTGCAGTAAG
The DNA here is from genome assembly GCF_000001405.40 of Homo sapiens. Lineage (NCBI taxonomy): Eukaryota > Metazoa > Chordata > Mammalia > Primates > Hominidae > Homo > Homo sapiens. The sequence continues at coordinate 29,881,975 of NC_000020.11, forward strand.
CCGAGATCGTGCCACTGCACTCCCGCCTTGCGACAGAGCAAGATTCCATCAAAAAAAAAAAAAAAAGAACAAACGTAATTTAAAAGATTAAAATTAAGATAGATTTTTACAAATGTATATATCTACCATTACAGTATCATACAGAATGGTTTTACTGCCGTGAAGATTCTCTGTGCTCTGTGTATCATCTCTTCCTTCCCCTTGGTCCATGGCAACCACTGATCTTTCTACTGTTCCCATAGTTTCACCGTTTCCAGAACGTCATATAATTGGAATCGAACAGTACGTAGACTTTTCGGATTGGCTTCTTCTTTTAGCAATATGCATTTAAGTTTCCTCCATGTATTTTTTTGTGGCTTGATAGATCATCTCCTGTTAGCGGTGAATAATATCCCATTGCCATTATACTTTTGTCAAGACTCAGAAAGTACAATGTGAAGAGTAAATAAGTATGAATGTGCACTGTAAACTTTGAGTGATACTGAAGGGTCAAGATAGGTTCCTGGTTGTCACAGGTGTGCTCCTGTGAGGCAGGAAGCTGTAGTGGGGAGGCTGTGTGTGGGGAAAGGGACATATGAGAAGTCTGTACTCTCTGCTCCATTTAGCTGTGAACCTGCACTTCTCTAAAAAATAAAATTAGTTAAAATTAAGAGCAAAAAATTAGAAAAATTAAAACATTACAATGTGTCATATAGTTTTCAAATCACAAGATAGAAAAATACATAATAAAAGAAACTATAGAAAACAACAAGGATAGGAATAAAAAACATCAGTGATAGAAGGCAGAAGACAGAAACGTGGAGCCAAACACATTAATTTATTTTAATCATTAGTTATACTCATTTATATTAATTTATATTGATTTAACATATTAATTTTGACTAAATGGCATTAAAGGAGTTTTGAGGAATTTGCATGTCACATTCTGGATGAGAGAACTCAATAATATTAACTCTTTAGTTTGCTGTAAATCATTTAAAAATATGCTCAAATTCCAATAAAAATTCCAAGAAAAATATTTTCGAAGAAGAAAATGTTATTTTAAATCCACATATTGAACACACATGAGAGCCAATTTTATAAAATTTACTATAAGATATTTAAGATTGTTATTAGTATTCAAAATTAAACAAATTTGAAATGGCACAAAAATAAACACATTAATGAAAGAGAATCAAAAACACAGAAATTGAGTGTAATTTTATCTAGTAACAGGGTAATAATTTAAACCCACAAAACAGAGCGATTTTTGCATTTATGATGTTAAAATATTGGGTAATGATTTGAGAATATAAAATGATAGAATTGAATCCTGGTCCCACAACTTACATAAAAGTTAATTCCAGTATTAAATGTAAAAAAAAAAAAAAAAAGAGAGAAAATAAAATTAGATGTACCTGTGTTTTATGACCTTGAGAATGAATGAATGTCTTCTAAAATCAAAACTGCAAACAGAAACTATATAAAAAGGGATAAACCTAACGTACCTAGAACGTAAATTCTTACACATTTCAACACCAAGTAAATAGCACAAAACAAACTGGGGAAATTTTTACAACAATTATATTAGATGAAAGTTAAAATCCTTATGACATATACAATGTATAAAACAGTATTATTACCACTATTATTAATACCATTATGATTACCTGGTCTTCCCACGCACCAGTCCTCTTCTGGTGCCCTGTGGTGAAACAGAGCCCTTCCTCTCTGGCCACAGTGAGGGATCCAGCAGGAACCCTGCCTAAGCCCTCAGAGGGTGTGAGCCAAGCCAGGACATCACATTCCCTCCTGCAATGATGCAGATACCCACTCACGACAGAGATTTGGTAACTCTCTGGAAAAGCTGTGTAACAATTATTGCAGAAACTTGTTTCTTATGTTCCCAGACACATGGAGAAAGCTGGTCTGGAAGACTGATGTCCACATGCTAAGAGAAGCAGTCACTCATAACACACACTGCACACACCACACCATGTGCACACGCACACACACCCCACACACAGACACCACATAAACAGCACACACACCATGTGCACACGTGAAGGGGTGGCCTGCCCCTCCACACTTGTGGGCGTTTCTCGTTGGGTGTAACAAGAGACTTTAGAAAAGAGACACAGACACAAAGTATAGAGAAAGAAAAATGGGCCCAGGGGAACGGCGCTCAGCATACGGAGGACCCACGCCGTCACCAGTCTCTCAGTTCCCTTAGTATTTATTGATCATTATCGGACGTTTCTCAGAGAGGGGGATGTGGCAGGACAATAGGGTAATAGCGGAGAGAAGGTCAGCAGGAAAACATATGAACAAATGTCTCTGCATCATAAACAAGGTAAAGAAAAAAGTGCTGTGCTTTTGACGTTCATATACATAAATCTCTCAATGCCTTAAAGAGCAGTATTGTTGCCAGCATGTCCCACCTCCAGCCCTAAGGCATTTTTCCCCTATCTCAGTAGATGAAATATACAACTGGGCTTTACACCAAGACATTCCATTGCCCAGGGACTAGCAGGAGACAGATGCCTTCCTCTTATCTCAACTGCAAAGAGGCCTTCCTCTTTTACTAATCCTCCCCAGCACAGACCCTTTATCGGTGTCAGGCTGGGGGATGGTCAGGTCTTTCCCTTCCCATGAGACCATATTTCAGACTATTGCATGGGGAGAAACCTTGGACAATACCTGGCTTTCCTAGGCAGAGGTCCCTGTGGCCTTCCGCAGTGTTTTGTGTCTCTGGGTACTTGAGAGTAGGGAGTAATGATGACTCTTAACAAGCATG